>NC_000006.12:160676850-160828365 GCF_000001405.40 Homo sapiens | reverse complement strand
TTCAACCATGTTTGCATTTCAGCTGGAACCCAGCTCCCACTATACAGTGTCAATTATTGATGCCTAATTTTCACTGTTCTATATTCCTTCATGTTATAGTTTCATTTTCCCTAAATCAGTCTATAAGTACCTAAAGGGGGGGAAAAAGGAGGTATATACAAAGAGAGAAACTTCTAGGTGCCTTCGTACTTCTAGAGCATTCACTGGGGTGATCACACTGCCCTAGACTATCTCGTCCACTTAAGAATTGAACTACTTCATATTAGGTGTTCAAAACTGACCCAATTAGCTAGATTATTTATTTATTTATTTTAAGATGGAGTGTCGCTCTTGTCACACAGGCTGGAGTGCAATGGTGAGATCTTGGCTCACTGCAACCTCTGCCTACCTAGTAGCTGGGATTACAGGTGTTGCCACCACACCCAGCTAATTTTTTGTATTTTTAGTAGAGATGGGGTTTCACCATGTTGGCCAGGCTGGTTTTGAATTCCTGACTTCAGGTGATCCGCCAGCCTCGGCTTCCCAAAATGCTGGGATTACAGGCGTGAGCCACTGTGCCTGGCATAGATTTTTACCCTTGAGTGTTTCCCTTCGCATTCCAGTCTCTCTACTTTGAATAGACATTGAATTAACCTAGCCATTATAATCACCAATTCTGTTATGACCTCACGGATAGTTTTACAGAAAATAAATTTATAGTGTAGCCTATTTTGTGTTCTGATATTTTAAAAACACCAATGCACAAATAACATTGATTTTTATATCTTAGATAATTACTTTCATTTTGTATATAATATTTTCTTTTTAAATTTATGCCTAAGAGGAGAAAGTAGGAATTATTATATAAGCCTGTTGCTGGTATTCATTGTTTTCCCCAAAATTTACCATGATATTGTTGTTGTCCTTCAGAAAAGATTTTCTGTTTGTTTGATTTTAGTCACTGGGGTTGTGCCTTAAATTCACTGTGTTTTTGTTGGTGTCATTTATCCCTGTATATTCTGTCTCTCATGGAGCTGCATGTACATCCCCCTCTTCATAAAAATTCCATTAACCTTTGGTGTCTGCTCAGGGCTTTCAAGACATATTGTAGGATCACGTCAAGCTCAATTTCATCACTCTGCACTATATTCAGCCATACTGGCTCTTAAGCCACTCAGCTAGTGGCTTAAGATCTCTATTGAAGGTAGAAGCAGGATCCCGCTCTTTCGATTTACTAAGAATTTGGCTCCTTATGAAAATGAGCCTCATCTTTGAAGCAACATAACTCTTTTAGTAGACTCCAAAGATGAGTCACCATGAAGCTGATCTGTCTCTAGGAGAATTCATCCCTAAATTCCCAGAGGTGAGCTCCTGAAGCATTTTCCTTTAGTTTTTGTCAACTTCCTACCCTTTCATGTCGTGGAAAGAACAATCTCCTTTATGAAAAGTAAACAATGGATTTCATGTACATATGTTTATAACCTCCTTTTTAAAAAATTACACATGAATATTGACCATCACTGTATATCAATAAGATAAATATGCAACCTCACTTTTAATGGCTTCAAAGTATTTATTTAAATGAATGCACCTAACCTGAAGAAAATTGCTAAATCAAAAAAAAAAATACATGTGAGTGGTTGTTGATTTGGTACAACCAAATTCTCTGTCCTCATTTACACTCTCACCGACAGTGTGTAGGAGTACCATTTTGTTTACACATTCACCATGCCAATTATTAATCATTATGGTTTTGACTTTCCTCCATTCTTATGTATCAGGTTATATCTCATTTTGATTTTCACTTCTTGCAGCAGCAAAAAAGATTGAGTACTTACAAAGTGAAGTTTTTACAGGCTTTTTACCTTTTTTTCTGATAAGTGTATCTTGCTTAGTTGCTATAGTTCTTTATAATTTAAAGATACAACTTTTCTTATTATTTCTAGAGAGAATCATATCCGTAAATATGGTTTTTATTTTCTTTTTATTATTTACTTAATTGGTATTATGCTGCTGTTTAATACCATTTGATCAAATTTCCAACACAAAGTACAATATCAGTGGTGAGAGTAAACATCCATTTTTTTGTTCCTGAGTTTCAAAAAACTTTAGGTTTTGTTATTAAACATGGTGTTGGCTTGGTATTAAGGAAACGATAAATAAGATGATATCATTTCTAATTTAAAGCACTTTAAAAAGGAATAGAAGGGGAAGTAATAATATAGCAAAATATCTGTTTAATACACTGACAATTTACTTTTATAATTTTTAAAGATTTTGCAAATTACACATACTCATGCACTAACAATTTTGTTATTTTAGATGTGTTTATTAGAAGTTCTGTTTTCAGCCTTACAATCTTGTGCTGACTTTGTACAGAGATATGGAAAGCACTTCTGACTCTAAAGTCTAAAATATTTTAAATAAAGTGGGATAAATTGTAATGGTTAGAAAAATTTTTAAAATGCCTTAGGGTTTGCTAAGAATTTGCTAATGTATATTACTGGAGATACTTATAATATCATTTGCATTTAAAAGTATAATTGTCATAGGATAACAATTCGATGATAGGTAAAATTCTAGCTGTTCCAATCAAAAACGAATAAAGCAAGAGGAAAAAACATAGACATAAAATCAAAATCAATTTTTTTCATCTTTTGTATTTTCTCATTATAATAGCTAGAGTTTTCTTCATATCATTGTTATTTTCTTTCTTTTTTCTTTTTTTTTTTTTTGAGACAGAGTTTCGCACTTGTTGCACAGCCTGGATTGCAATGGCGTGATCTGGGCTCACTGCAATCTCTGCCACCTGGGTTCGGTGATTCTCCTGCCTCAGCCTCCAGAGTAGCTGAGATTACAGGCACCTGCCCCACACCCGGCTAATTGTTTTGTATTTTTAGTAGACACGGCGTTTCACCATGTTGGCCAGGCTGGTTTTGAACTCCTGTCCTCAAGTGATCCACCTGCCTTGGCCTCTCAAAGTGCTGGGATTACAAGTGTGAGCCACCGTGCCTGGCCATATCATTGTTATTTTCAAGAACTTATTTTCGTAGATTTATTCTCAAGATTTTCTCTGCTTTTTATTTAATACTTTATATGTTTAATGATAGAATCGCTTCTTCATCTTTACTAAACTTTACAATGCTTTGTGTTCTTTAATTTTTGCTTTTTTGTTAACCCTTAGTCAATTTATTATTTTCTTTGTTATTTAATAATAACAAGTTTGGAGCTACAAATACTTTGGTTATTGTTTTGCCTGTTTTCTAAAAATATTAAATGAAAGTTTCTTATTTGTACTATTTTCCAAATAGACTGTTATTTCAGACTTGATTTTCATTTTCATTTATGTCTAAATATGGCATTTGAAAGACAAAACTTCTAAATTTACTTGGCAATATTTTTTACTCTTTTGTTACTAATTTTCAGTGTCATTGTATCATTAATACAGAATTGGATTACTAATCATTGCTTTTTGGTATATTTTTGCTCTTAATTGTTTTTGAAAAATACAGAAATGTAAAATTATTTCTTATCATTATCTCAATTGTAGGGAATTTCTAGTGTCTACCAAGAGAACTGAAAGGAAGGGTGCTGAGAAAAATTCCTAAAGTTTGGCAGAAATGCTGCTATGATTTGTTAGTAACGTGTGGATTGAGGGAGGAGTTACGAATGTTGGATTCTTATGACTCATCCATTACACTTGGCTTAGCACGTGATAATTTTTTAATAGTTCTTGGATATTAGGAAGAAATTTACCTTATGCATATACTTTAAAATGTCTTTTTCTATGATATATATATCAGGCTGGGGGTAAGAATTACCTGAATAAATTTTTCAGAAAGCGATATTTTGATGCCACCTCAAATATAACATATCCACATATTTGGGAGTAGTGCTCAAGAGAAAAGGCAATGTTTCAATCTATATATGATACTCTTGTGTGGTTTTAAAGCATAGCAAAAAGTTGGAAATTTTACTATATAACATTTACATGTATTTATAATAAACATAAATGTATATACATACACACAAACCCAATATGAATGAGTTAGAGGTCCTCATGCCAGTTAGTTTTAATAAGTTTCAAATAGTTCTAAAATTTTGACTTTAAAAATTTCAGCCATATGATTTAGCATATATTCAAAAGTTTTTATCTTGTTTATTTCAACCCATATTCATATAAAATAAACATATTTTCTTATTTAACCTGTATTTATGGGATACTACTTTTGCCTTTGTCTTTCATTTGGAGACTTCACCTACTTTCATTTTATGTAGTTGGTTTATATTAAGGTTTAAATATATGCCTACGCTATTTTTTGTTTCATCTGTTCTATGTTATATTTTTCTATTTTATTCATTATTTTCGACTGATTATTTTGTCAGTCCACTTTCCCCTTTATTGATATTAACACTTGCTTTCACTACACTTTAAGTGCTTAACCTAGGGATTGCAATACTTGTAATTAGCTTTCCATGTTTTAATAGAAATTGGTACTTGTTACACATTCCAGGCAAGGTAAAGGTCATAAATATTTAACTGCATTTAATCCCTTTCAGATATATGTGCACACATATTATTCCATATATTTTTAGAATAGCAGGAGACATTGTTACCATTTTATGCATCCAATATTAGATTTACCCACATTGGACTCTTTTATTGCCCTTATTTCTCTTCTACATTTCCAAACTTCCAGCTAGTGTCTTTTACCGTATGTATGGTAACTTTTAAGCAGTTCTTGTGTGTTGAATTCTACATTCTCTAAGTATCTTTTTCTTTCACCTTTATACTTAAAAGAAGTTTGATGGTAGGAGGTCAATATTAAGTAAGTAAAATGAAAGAACTGTACCAAAACTTAAAAGTCTCAGAAGTAATGTTTTTAAAGATGTACATCTTCAATGATTGTGCATACACATACATACATACATACATACCTACATATGTATGTGCTTGTATCTATCTGGTATTCTTAGTCCTATAATAACTTAGACTCCTCTTTGTCTGTTCCTCTATATTTTTCTGCTTTACAGCAGATCATGGTACAAAGTCATTAGTTGAAGGCTCAGATGGCTAAAATACCAAATATTTCCCATAATTTTTGCCACAACTTGAGCTATTCATTCAGATTATTTATAGGATTCCTTGAGACATAAGTTTGTCATTTCCTACAGGTCATTTATACTCATTACATTCTGAAAAACAGGAAATCAAAAGAGGGCTAAAGATATTTAACAAATTTTAAAAGTCCAACGTTTTAAGATAATTATTCCACTGCTACATAAATTTCATTTTATTTAACAAGTAATACATGTTTAGTCCTATTAATAGAATACTGTTATGTATAATGTCTGATGAAATTATTGATGAAATCAAGGAAATAAAGTTGGGCATTATATTTTTGCCTACTTTGATCCCTGGACTTTGAGTGTACTGAAGGCTAATCTAACCAAATAGAATTTAGGAGCACTAGAAACATTTTTGAAAGGTAATATTATTTATTATTTTATTTATTTATTTATTTATTTATTTTTTATTATACTTTAAGTTCTAGGGTCCATGTGCACAACATGCAGGTTTGTTACATATGTATACATGTGCCATGTTGGTGTGCTGCACCCATTAACTCGTCATTTACATTAGGTATATCTCCTAATGCTATCCCTACCCACTCCCCCCACCCCACAACAGGCCCTGGTGTGTGATGTTCCCCACCCTGTGTCCAAGTGTTCTCATTGTTTGAATGGTAATATTAAAGAAAAGGTTATGGGAGAGAGAACTGTTTTTCCTCACTTTGGAAGATTCTTGTGTGTCTTTTGTGAATTTAAATATTGAAACATCTTCCCATAAAAGGGCAGTAAAACAAAAATTAAGCAGAAAATTTGTGACGTTTTAAATGGCAAAGGAATTACAGACTCATGGAAGGTAGAGAGTGTTATTACAATTAGACAGCAGCTCTTTAGTACAACACATGTTTTTTTCAGAATCTGATTTAATTCTAAATTGGTTTCCCCCAAACTCATTAAAATGCAAAAGCTATACAAAACATTGTTTGCATAATTATAAAATAATTTAGTAAATGTTGCATTTCAGGAAGAAAAAGGTTATGTGCAGGAATTTAATTAGTGATCTGGCAACACAAAATATTTGATGTTGCTTCTAATTGTATGCACATCTGGGATTTTCTCCAAAAGAACTAGATTTTTAAAGGTTAAGCATTTATATTAAAGTGTTATAAAATAACCATCTTAGGACGTGATCCCAAGGGAAATGACCAAATATAATCATCATAACATGAAGTATTTGTATTGATATATTTAGCATTTATGCTGAGCCCGTTTCTACACTGTGGAGTGTTCCAAAGTAAATGGTAGTAAAATTGTAAGTGTGAGCACCATTCATTCTGTACCAAAGTAGCTAAAGGAGACCTGGTTTCTGATCCTGTTTCACATAGATATAAAGTATCTTATTTTTTCTTTCAATTTTCCCATTATTGGTGTATAGACGTTCTATTTCCCCTCTGTACACCTGCCCTACTTTACTATTAGGAGAAATACTGAAAGGATCTTGAGCTTCTTGGGAGAAATCTAATATATTACTATAAAGTGATAACATCACTAGAGCACAAGACAGTTTTTTAAGCTGCTCTAGGCTTCACATAATTTCATTGTCTTACACATTCCCATTTAAGTTAAAAGATTCCCATTAAGAAACTAATCAACAATCCAGCACCCATACAAATGAACAAAGACAAAACTGAAACCCCATTTACTACTTTTTAAAATTACTGCTCTTTAATTAACTGCTTTTAAGTCAAATATCAAGCAGCCCAAGAACACAGAGAATTTTAAAATGTGGGATTTTAATTTTAATGTGAAGTTATACAGCATAACTAAGTGGCATATCACTGAGACTTTATTTTGATAGCTTGTTTTTCTTCCCTTTTTACTCAAAACATTTTTAGTGCTCTGAAAGAAAGAATTTATCAGGGGAACCCACCCCCAATATTTCAACGTAGGTTCTTTCTATTTTCCATAAGTGTCGGCCAGCTGAGAAATACAGAGAAAAAGTACAAAGAGAGGAATTTTACAGCTGGGCCTCCGGGGGTGACATCACATATTGGTAGGACCATGATACCCACCTGAGCCACAAAACCAGCAAGTTTTATTAAGGATTTCAAAAGGGGAGGGGGGTGCAAGAACAGGGAGTAGGTCACAAGATCACATGCTTCAAAGGGCAAAAAGGAGAAAAAAGACCACATGCTTCTGAGGAAACAGGACAAGGACAAAATCAGAAAGTCCTGATAAGGGTCCAACAAAGATCACAAGGCAAAGGGCAAAAGCAGAATTACTGATAAGGGTCTATGTTCGGCGGTGCACGTATTGTCTTGATAAACATCTTAAACAACCGAAAACAGAGTTCGAGAGCTGAGAACTGGTCTGACCTCAGATTTACCAGGGTGGGGTTTTTCCCCACCCTAGTAAGCCTGAGGGTACTGTAGGAGACCAGGATGTATTTCAGTCCTTATTTTAACCGCATAAGACAGACACTCCCAGAGTGGCCGTTTATAGACCTCCCCCCAGGAATGCATTCCTTCCCCAGGGTATTAATTATTAATATTCCTTGAAAAGAATTTAGCAATATCTTCCCTACTTGCACATCCATTTATAGGTTCTCTGCAAGAAGAAAAATATGGCTCTATTTTGCCCGACCCTGCAGGCAGTCAGACCTTATGGTTGTCTTCCTTTGTTCCCTGAAAATCACTGTTATTCTGTTCTTTTTCAAGGTGCACTGATTTCATATTGTTCAAACACACAAGTTTTACAATCAATTTGTGTGGTTAACACAATTATCATAGTGGCCCTGAGGTGACATACATCCTCAGCTTACAAAGATAACAGGATTAAGAGATTAAAGTAAGACAGGCATAAGAAATTATGAAAGTATTATTTGAGAACTGGTAAATATCCATGAAATCTTCACAATTTATGTTCCTCTGCCGTGGCTCCAGCCACTCCCTCTGTTCAGGGTCCCTCGCTTCCCACAACAAGAATTAATATTATTCTTTGGGTGGAATTTTTGGTCTTCATTTCTATGACTCTTATGTACATGGATAATGTACATGGATAAGATAGTTTTATCAATATTAAAGACATCACATGTTAAGTTTTGAAGATACATGTATATTTATATGGGTTACTGGTCCTAATTTTTAATTCAAAACATGTAGAAACGTATTTTTAAAAATTCAGTCAAGAATCTGTCTTGATGGATAGTCAATGATTTTTGCCTGTGGTATTAGAAAATATAATATTTGAGCTGATCCTTGAAAGATGAATGGGGTGAAACTGAGTCTTCCAATACTCCATGAAATGCAAGGTAACTGTAAACAAGAAAAAAGTGAGAGGAAGGCAAGTCTACATTTGGCAGAGATTGAGATAATGTATAAGAGGCCAACTTCTTAATTTGTAAGTGTGATATATGCATACTTAATAATTATTTTAATTATTAAGCAACTGAGAAATAACTGAATGAGAGTAAATGAGAAGAGAGATTAAAATGAACAGGTTTAGGTATGAAAATGACACTTTTCCAATCACAATTAATTTGCTGGCTTCAAATTCTAACATAATTTCTGTGTTTAGAATTTTCAAAAGGCATAATATGGAAGTGATTGGTCAGAATTTCCCTCCTATGACCTGGTAGCTTTGCTAACCCAGAAAAATTTTGGTGTTCGCCTAGGCAACCTAATGATAGGTAAAGGCCAAAATAATCGGTGAACTACCAATTTGGTCATGCTCCAGAATACTAATATAAGTTGTATAAGTTCCTACAATACCTGGGGAACTTTTTCTCCTGATTTTTGTATACCATTATAAGATAAATGTTGTAGTTCTCAAATTCTGTTCTCTTTCTATCTGCCCCCAGGTTACCTCTGCATTTATAATTCACTATGATATGCCAGTAATATTTCTGGATTTGTACATTTAAGACATTTCCTATCATTTATTAACAGTCCTATTTGTTGGCACTATACAATTTATTTACATTTCTGTAGTTTTTAAAATTTATCTGAAAATGTTATTTTGCAGCTACATTATATAAACAAGCCCAAGCCTCCAAAAGCTACTGAAGGAAAGTACCTTTCCAAAATGATCTTTTTTATGAATAGAAGATAACATGGCTTTTCTTGCTGTCAGGGCACTTCTTAAGAGATTTCTAATCTGTACAATTTTCAAAAATGCTGACTAAATCTAAAAAACATTATAAAACAGCATCCAGAAATGCCAGAGAGGAAAGATACAATTTTTTTCCATTCCTTAGAAAACGATGTGATTTCTCTATCTTTTGTTATTTTAACTACAATATAAAGGTGATACTGCCCTGTTCTCATAAATGAGAAATTGATTGTCTTTAATTTAAATTCCATGGAAAATAGAAAAAATTGACAAATTATTCGTAGCAAAATAGCCGCAAAATACAACTGCAGAGTAAAACTTCACAGAATTAAGCCACAAAATGTAGCAGAAAATAATACAGATTTAAACACAATCCTCAAAGTGTTTATTTGATGTTTTAAAATTTAACATATATTTCTCAGTTTTGTAAAATATATCACATATCAACAATAACTTTGAAAGTTACCATTACATGTCATTTTTATTTTAAAAGTTGGAGTTTAAAAAACCATTTTTGAAACTTTTTTTCAAGGAAGATCTTTAATAGAAAAACATAGCCAGAAAATGTCAAACACTTACAACAAATATGCACATGTTTAAGAAAGAAGGAAAAGGGAGGCCGAGGCAGGTGGATCACTGGAGGTCAGGAGTTTGAGACCAGCCTGACCAACATGGTGAAACCCCGTCTCTACTAAAAATACAAAAATTAGCCAGGCCTGGTGGTGGGCACCTGTAATCCCAGCTACCTGGGAGGCTAAAGCAGGAGAATCACTAGAACCTGGTAGGGGGAGGTTGCAGTGAGCCGAGATCGTGCCATTGCACTCCAGCTTGGGGAATAGGGAGAGAATCCATCTCAAAAAAAAAAAAAAAAGAAGGAAATATATTTGTTTGCTTTTAAAGGTATTTTACTGTTTTTATTTAGTTACAGATAGAATACCTCTCGTTATATGAGCACTATGCAAAAAATGTAAATTTATCAGATGTTATAAGTTACAGAATAATCTAAGCTTATTGCTTCAAACAATCTGTCAATAAGTTAGGTGTTTTTAAATACGCTTTAACAGAGTTATGTATTATCTATTCATCCATCCATTCATCTGTTAACTTATTTATTCTTCCATACTTGTATTTACTTACCTTGGTACAAGGTATCAAGTATAATGAGGCCATAGGGATTAAATATACATTTAAAACCATTTAGCTGTGTTGTGCTTTTTTTATTTATACACCAAAAATGAATGATGATTGGAGTTATATTAGTAAAATTCAAGCTGGATAGATCTGTAAGCCAGGATATTTTCAGAAAAGCATAGATGGGTTCTCATTATATAGCATTAGATAATATTATAATAGACATTAACATCAATTTTAATAGTTATAAGAATACATGGTAAAAGATAGTTTTTAAAATGGTATTTTTTCTTAAGGTCTACTTAATAGACAGCTGCTGAATTTTTAAAAATCACCTGCAAAAAAATGTAGTAGCTTTTTTCGTGTGGTAACTGAGACAGATAAAATGTATTATTAAAAACAAAATGGCAGAAGCAGGATTTTCATATAAGTTACAGCAGAATAAAAAGCATAAAATTTGGCCAGACTTATTTTTGAGAAGATGGATTTTCCGTTACCTGGCAGGCATTATCTTTCTCAAAGTGTGTGGCTAGGGTAATGCACAGCCCACAATACGAACCTAGCAAGAGAATAAAGGCTAAATGAGCCCATAGCCACACAGGAAATGTGCCGTTTCAAATCTTGGCGGGGGAGAAAGCAATGGCTCCAGATATCTTTCAACTCTTCCAGGAGTACGGTGCATTGACTTGATGGAAGACATTTATGACATTCAAACTATTGAGTTTAGATCATGTAAGATTTTAATAGTTGCTGCAGAAATGGCAAGACGATTAACATAAAAATCTACTATTTTGTAAGCAATTATTTAGATTGTTCAGATTTCTGCTTATACAAATTAATTCACTTAATATACAAAGCCAAAGTGTGGCCCATAAAAATTTGCAACATAAACCAAAATGGAAACTAATATTGACACTGAAAAGTATAATTCTTTTTTTTTTTTGAGACGGAGTCTCGCTCTGTTGCCCAGGCTGGAGTGCAGTGGCGCAATCTCGGCTCACTGCAACCTCCGACTTCCGGGTTCACGCCATTCTCCTGCCTCAGCCTCCCCAGGAGCTGGGACTACAGGCGCCTGCCACCACGCCTGGCTAATTTTTTTATATTTTTAGTAGAGACGGGGTTTCACCATGTTAGCCAGGATGGTCTTGATCTCCTGACCTGGTGATCCACCCGCCTCGGCCTCCCAAAGTGCTGAGATTACAGGCGTGAGCCACTGCGCCTGGCCTGAAAAGTATAATTCTTTATGAGATCTGCTAGAGAGGAGAGAAGCTAGCTTGACACAAATATTTTCTTCTCTTAAAAAAGCATAGATACTGTGAAAAAAAAGTTATGAAATGAGACCAAAGTAAAAATATATAACCACTTGAATAAAATTGGAGAAAAGTAGAGTTAACATAGTAACTCCATTTTACTATTAACATAGTGAAATAATCTCCATTAAAAGCAGTAAGGAAGTAAGGAATGGAATTAACATTACAAATGTCAGGTCTGTGATGTGAGAAGGGAATTTAGGATTTTTTTTTTTTTTTGACGGAGTCTCGCTCTGTCGCCCAGGCTGGAGTGTAATGGCCGATCTCAGCTCACTGCAACCTCCACCTCCCGGGTTCAAGAGATTCTCTTGCCTCAGCCTCCTTAGTAGCTGGGATTACAGGTGTACACCGCCATGCCAGGCTAATTTTTCTGTATTTTTAGTAGAGACGGGACGGGGTTTCACCATGGGTCAGGCTGGTCTCGAACTCCTGATCTCGTGATCCACCCTCCTCGGCCTCCCAAAGTGCTGGGATTACAGGCGTGAGCCACTGCACCTGGCTTAGAATATTTTAAATGTAAAGAAAATAGAAAAAATAAAAGATGTTATTAACAAATAGTCATGACACTGAACTGACAAGATATTGATAAATGTGGCTACTAAATACTAACAAATAATAATCAAAAGTAAAATATAAAACCAATTTCTAACCCATATAAACAACTGATATTATCATTTGGAATTGTAACATAAGTATCCGTGTATCTGGTTTAACATCATGAGCTGAAATATTTTTAAAAATAAAAATAATTACGGAACATGACTTGTTCTTTTTAAAGTTCAATACCAAAAAGATCAAGTAGATCATTAGCTATGGAGTTCTGATGGGAAAAATATTAACTAACAAATTATGTTGAGCATATTGTTTTAATTTTGTGGGAAAAAAGAAAAATTAGTATCGCTTCGGGTAGTTGAAAGTAATATATTAACAAATATCAAATTTTTAAAATTATGCATTTTGTAAGTAAGATGATATACCATGTCTAATAACACATAAACGGTCACTAAGATGACAAATTTTAGCGTGTGGTTGTATACATATTTAATTTTGCCTACCTGTAAAATGAATGACATTTGGGAAAATATGCTAAATTACAAGAAAGTTTTTGAGAAATGCAACAATTTAAGAAACTCTGCAGACTGAGCTATTTAATTGTACAAATAAGACCAATAATCAACCTTATACAAATGCTACTATATTTATTAATAAAAAATATAGGTATAGAGCAATAAAATAATACTAAGTAAAAACATTGTACCTAGAATATAAAGTTAAAATGTGCACGTGTCTTTACAGAAAGCCATTATTAGTGAGCTATTTTGTTAATATCTGTGACACCAATTATTGATACTAAAAATGTATTATCTCATTCAGCCCCAGAAAGTATGGAATGTTTACAATGGTTATAAAAAATTGACTATATTTTCCAAGTCAAAGTTTTCTATTCTCTAATCATTTAGTAAAATTTAAAAAAGATTGCATGCAAGAACCTACTTAAGAATTTGCTCACCTGTTAACAATTTATTTTTGTTTTACTTTAAAAACTATTACTATTTTTTCTACTTTTAGACATTTTAAGAGCCAACATTATGTTTATATTTAATTTTAGTTCATTTTGCTATTCAGCCTATTGTTAGAAAATTTTCTGTTGAATTATAAATTGACACTTTATATAAATGTATGATGTACAAAGTGATGTTTTGGTTTATAAATAGAATGTGGAGTAAGTAAATCAAACTAGTTAACATATACATCACCTTAAATATTTAATATTTGTGATGAGAACATTTGAAATGTACTTTCCTAACAATTTTGAAATATATTTAATTATTATTAACCTATATTCACCATGCTGTGCAATAGAACTATATATATATGCATATATTTTTTCCTCCTGTCTGAAATTTTGTGTTCATCAACCATCACCCCCCTGCTCAAATCCTCCATCCTCTGTAACAGTCACTCTACTCCTCTGTTTCTATGACTTGAATCATTTCAGATTCCATATATTAAGTGAGAACATGTGTTATTTATTTTTCTGTATCTAGCTTATTTCACTTAGCCTCAGGTTCTCCAGTTCCATTTGTGTTGTCACAAATGACAAAATATCCTTCTTTAAGGCTGAATAGTATTTCACTGCCTGTATATACCACTTGAAGTCAGTTTGTTGAAGTCACGTCTGTACTCTCATGTTCATTTCAGTAGTATTCACAATAGCCATAATATGGAATCAACCTGTTATTCATCAACAGATGAATGGATACAAATTTTTTAACATAGTCGTACTGTTTAAATATGTTTAAATTACCCAAATTCTAAATAAAATTAGAAATACCAAGTTACAGGTAAAAACTAGGAGAAGTATTTATCTAGAAATGGAGTTCTCCTACAGAAGAACTTATAGAACCTGGTTGATCTGTTATGGGCTTTCAAAAGAAGTCCCAATGTCATTAGCATTCAATCCACGCCCATTCTCTTTATGATATGATGTGTAGTAGAAATACATGGTTTTCTCTCTCATGCTATATGTGATTATCAAGGCTTTATCCTTTCTTGGTTGAGATTTCAAGTAAAATACTGACATATGCAAGAATGATTACACATTCAAATGTACTTTTATGTGATCTTTCAAAAGTGTGCAGCTGCAAGCATTCACAGAGTTATATTGAGAGTGATCTTTCTGAAATACAAGAAAATAATATAATGTACAAAGCTCAGGACACTATTTCCAACTTTTAAAACTGTATTTCAAAGTCTAATTTCCAGTGACTAGACAGATACTTTAATTATTCCACAATAAAAACTACATACATGGTGAGTTATAAAAAGGAAATTATTTTAGTGTTAATTATAGTAAAAATACATCTGAAATATTCTGTTGAATATTAACATTTATCTTAAATTTGGCTAGTTTTACTGACAGGTACAATTTTAATAAGAGTAGTTGAATATCAAGTTAATATACTCAAAATACAAAAAAAAGTGATTGTTAATAATGTTACTTAATGAGAGATGGTATAGATAATATTGCAGATTTTCCAAGTATCACTTTATTAATGATACATATGTATATACATATATATGACAAAAAACTTAATAGGTGTTATTATTTCTATGTATCAGATGAATTAAGATCATAAAATAGCACTAGGAATTATAATTTTACATTACAGGTATGTGAAAATTACATCTCCCACAGACCAAATTAAAAAAAATGAAATCATGTAAAAATAACTTACAAATATTTATTAAACCTAAATTCATAAGAAAAACTTAGTTATAGATATTTATGATATAAATTGTACAGTATTAATTTGTTAGTATAACTTGAAACTAGCATTCTATGTGAAATGTCAGGGAACCCAAAAAGATAACTTCACCATTAATAATTTCCAGCAGCCTCTAATTAGCTAATGTATCTTGAAAGTATACGTACTACATTAAAAACTAAAGTTATAATTCATCCAACACGTCTGATACAGACATTTGTATTTGAGGACAAACACATTTCCTAGTGAGAACACTCAGTAGTTGTGCAGTGCTGGAGGTGGTGTGGATGGCAGAATGGAGGGAGGGCTGAATGAAGGGGTATTTTGTTGATTAATGAGTCATTGTTTGTCTATCGGAAGAGTGGCTAACAAAATGAAAATTAGTAACATTCTCTTAGAGATGCTGTTTAGTAGGTAGGGGAAGTCAGAATGTCAAAATAATCCATAAGTAGATTATTCTTTATGATCAACCAATCATCAAGTTTAGGTGGGAAAGAGCCAGTGTTGACTCACAGGTTTCTGATGTAGACAACAGATATGATTTGGAAGACAAGATGTTGGATTCAAGGTTGTTTATATTAACTTGAGGTGAAAAGTCGTTTGTTCTGAGCCTTTTTCTAGATGGAACATAAAGTTTCTGAAATATTTTTTATTTTGTAGTAGTGATGACCTTATGATTGTATTCTCATATCTTTCCCAACTCACTGGATTTTTAGGTTGTGCTGTATTATTCTTTAATAGAATAAAGGTTGTTTGAAGGATTTGAGTCAAAACACGAACTACTTGAATTTTCAGTGGAGGGGGAATGAAAACCAAGTGAAAGATTTTCAGGATGGGAAGCACTGTTTTGATAGTGATGTCTAGGACTGCTTTATTAAAGAAAATACGAATCAAGTGTTTTGTGTGTGTGTGTGTCTATGTGTGCCATTCAGGTGCTGGGAATACAGTGGTGAGAAATGATTCTTGCTTACATGGAGCTTACAGTAGAGTGGAGAAATAGACCTTAAACACATGCTTATGTAAATACAGTTGATCCTCCTTATTTGCAGATTCTGTGTTTGCAAATTTGCCTGAGTGCTAAAATTTATTTATAATCCCAAGATTAATACTCACTGCAGTTTTGCAATTATTCACAGGCATGTACAGAGGGGCAAAAATTTTGGTGGCTGCTGTGCACACTCCAGGCTGATGTCAAACAAGGTGACACTCTGAGTAAGCATCTTGTTTCAGCGCTGTGTAAACCAGTGTTCTTTTTGTGGCCTATTTTTTGCTACATGTTTTGCATTTTGTGCTTTTTATGGTGATTTTGTTGTTTAAAACAGCACCTAACCCTAGGGCTGAGGTCCCGTCTAGTGTTTCTAAGCACAAGAAGACCATGTTGTACCTTAGGGAGAAAATTCATATGTTGGGTAAGCTTTGTTCAGGCATGAGTTATCAGTACCAATGTGAGCTCAATGTCAATTAATCACCAGTACATATTAAATAAGGTGGTGTTATCCAGAAACACACACAAAACAAGGTTATGTATTGATCAATTGACAAAAATGTAAGCAGAGGCTCCCAGGAAACTAACCCTGTATTTCTCCTTGGAACAATTATTCAGTATTCACTAACTCAGTGTTGGTGGCAACTTCATAGACCATAACTACCTTGGATAATGAGAACTGACTATACATATAAAATTACAATTAAGGAAAGTGCTTTTCAGAATAAGCGGTTGGTATTAGGTAAGTGTATGTTTTTGTTTATGGAAAAGGAAGATATAGCATTGAGTTAGGTTGTCCGGGAACATATTCCTGAGGATATGGTGTGGTGTTAGAGTATAAAAGTAGAATAGGGTTTAATAAGATTAAAAGTGAGTGGGTGTGTCATCCTACACCTATGGAATGGACTTCTTGGTGAGAAAGCATGGTTTTTGTCAAGGACCTGAAAGAAGCCAGTGTCACTAGAGCTTAGCATTGAGGTAATCATCAAGAGAGGTCTAGATTATGCAAAACCTTATAGATCCTCAGTCTAAATACTAAAAAGCCATTGAGAGGGGCAAGTGGCGGCAATGATAAAAATAAAAATTAGTTTTTATTTTTGAAAAACATTTATCTAGCAAAGAATAACTCAGAGATGACAGCTTAGACAACTGCGATGGCAGAAAAGAGAAAGAGAGGAGATTAAACCTATATTTAAGGCCATCTAAGGAAATTAAAAGGTGTTTCTCTGACTGGACAGACAGTAGCTAAAGGTAAAATGAGGCCAGTAACTAAATTCGACAGGTTGACGCAAGGTGACAAAGTGGCAGGCTATTTTAACATGAATGAGAAGAACAAAGATAAATCACTTTTCATATTTTAATCTCATTTGGTTAAAAATCCACTTTATATTCAGAAAGTAGGAACCCATTTTTCTTTTTTCAGGAGTGAAATGAGGGTTAATCCACAGGAGAATAAACAACTGTGGCCTCATAGCATATGAGATTACTTTTCTTTCATGAATAGAATATAATTAAATGCAAGCAGTTTTAATGGAAAGAGTGAAAAACTTTTATTTTATTTGCCTAATCTGTGGAGGTAGCAAAAATTGTTGGTTTAATCCTATTTTAGGATATCATATGCATATTAGCTCTTCTTTTTGATTTTTTTCAGAAAGACAAATACCTTCTTCAATACCTTATTATTATTTTTGCTTTATGAGATTCTTGGTTATATATTATGGCTTTTAAATAAATATTAGCGTGATTCAGAACAGGTCGATTTTTTGACTCAGAGACTAATCATCTGAGAATGATTTTTGGAAAGCATGGATTTATATAGTCAGAAAGTTCTTTAAAGATTACCAAAGGCAAATCTTCCATTTTAGAGAGGAGTAAAGTGAAGCCCTAAGAGATGAAGTGACTTTGAATCATTAATTTGTAGCATTCCTTTAACAAGAACACGTACCTCCATGTTGCACAACTCCTGTAGGGCACAGCCTCTGAGCTCCTGCAAAGCTGCCCTGTGGGACTGCAGGTTCCTGCTTCTGAGACCAGGGCACTTCTACAATAGGTAGTTTTCATGAGCTACCTTATTAAGTTAAAGCACCCAACTGAGTCATCATCCTCACGAAAATCCATAATGTAATATTTGCTTTACTCTTTGTGGGATCAGGACTTAGATATATACACACTGATGATTCTCAGTATGTACACAAAGGCAGTTTTCTGAGAACTACTACATTTCTGAGCCATAAAATAAACAAGCAGAGTAAATGTAGGTGGCCGTTAATTATCTAAAGTGCTGTGAAACTTCAACAGGTTTTAAACCTCTGCTTTCAGAAATTTCTGTGTTTTAAACTTCATGCTTCAGCCGTGCTGGTGATGAGAAAAGAGGCTCTACTTTTTGTCATGGTGTGATGGATGCTGATTTCCTAGTGTGCAGAAGGTGATATTTTTCAGAGAAGAGGCAATTATTTGCATAATAGTCTTTGCCAACACTCTGCCCTCCTTTGAGATGAAGAGCTTTCTAATATTGTACTATTAATTGTTACCAGCTACTGTGTTGTGATTCGTTTTCTCTGAAAGAACATATAACAAAGACATGGAAATAATTCCTGAAACAATTCACAGGTTTGAGATGCAATAAGGAATTCAAATATCAATCCCAAAGTGGGAAGCAGAATTTTAGACTTTGTCAACTGAAAAAATAAGTGATTCATGGGGGGAGGGGGGTTATTTTAGAAAAAAAATGAAAGCAAGAGAAAGGAAGAAAGTATACTATTTTCTTCACTTTTACAGATGACACAGTTGGATATCAGTAACACCAGTTTTGTTTTTGCTTTGCTTCAGAAATCTTCAATATCAACACTTAAAAAAAGCCTAAAAGTCAACTTGAGAGGAGCTATTTAAATAGAGCTGACAAGCATTATAATGGGCTGCGGAGTCCAGAAGCAAGTCAGATTTCATGTGAAGTTTATAGCTTTTCTTTGCTGGTTGAATTTTCAAATCACATGCTATGTTTATAACAGCCTTCAAACTGCTGTATTCCAGGTTCCTTCAGCTCTTCTACTTCAGATCGTCTATGCTTGTCCCTGAAACTTAGTTCTCATGTGTGGTTGGAGTATTTGGTCATCTCTGTGGTATTATTTGAAAAAATTGGAAAAATAGATGAAATTTTGATATATCCCAATTAAACTTGGAGTTTATATGCCATAAGATTTACTCTTAGAGAGTGTATTTAAATTAAAAGCATTTTCTACATATCCCATAGAAGTACTCCCAAGAGGGAAGTATCTTAACCATGGATAATCACTAATGCCTAAATATTCACTAATTTATCAACTACCCTTTAAACAGACATTCAGTGACAAAAGAAACTAAATTACCCAGAAATCACCTCTTTACCTCTAATTTATCCATCTTAATGGCAATAATGCTGCCATGTCTTTTTGTCTCTGTTCCTTCTACACTATAATTGTAGGTATTTTTTTCCAAATTAATGTATCATAATGTGTTTTCAAATAACATAAATCTTGTCTTCAGCAGTGAATATAATTAAGTAGAATTACTTTCCATAAGCTGATATCACTGAATGTAAGGGCAATGACAAAATATTTTCTATGTTGTACTAACCATGTCTGGATCTTATAATAAACTTTTCTGTGGATACTCCGTGGTACCCCAAGTAAGTGAAAAAGGGACTTTTGATCCTATTTAGCCTATAACTTTCCACAGGCAGAGACTCTGCAGATTACTGAATTAACTCACTTACACTTTAATATTACAATTTTAATATTTTAATATTTAAAATTTTAATAAAGTATTGGATGCACATGGCTAAAAGATCAAATAGTAGAGAAAGGCATATCTGTTAGTAATGTTTACAAATATGAGTAACACAAAACCAACTAACTGCCAGAGGTTTAAACCATGGAGATGTTCTTTTATTTTCTTCTCATATGGAGGACTCAAGGCAGATAAATATGAGGTTGGACTGGTGACTCTAAACAGCCATCAGGCCCAGATTCTCTTTCTGCTGTGACATGTCCATCATGTCATCACTTGTCATCAAAGATACGATGGACATGTCATCATGTCCATCACTTTTTGTTAAAAGTGACCTTTAATGCCTGCAGCTAAAATTCCTAGGTCATGTAGGGTCAGCTATTCTTTCCGTGGATTCTATATTGTGGAATTAAAAAAACTATGTCTTTATCCAACCAAGAAAGGAAATGAAATAGTTTTGGGATATAAGAAGAGTTTGAGAAAGGAAGGAAGCATAATTTATGCGCTAAATTTCTCTCAAACACCTTGTTGACAAAAAGAGTCAAACTCTGTGAAATATTTGAAAATATTTATCCTGAGCCGAAGATAAGTGTCCATGGCCCGTGATATACCCTCAGGCGGTCTGGACAACTTGTGCCCAAGGTGGTTTGGCTACCATTTGGTTTTATATATTTTAGGGAGACATGAGACATCAATCAAATACACTTAAGCTATACATTGGTTCAGTCCAGAAAAGCGGGACAACTTGAAGTAGGCATTCCAGGTTATAGTTAAATTTAAAAATTTTCTGACTGGCAATTGGTTGAAAAACTTATCAGAAATAGAAAGGAATATCTGGGTTATGATAAGATATTTGGGGACACCAAAGTTTTACCCTGCAGATGAAGCCTCCGGGAAGCTGGCTTCAGAGAGAATAGAATGCAAATGTTTCTTATCAGAATTAAAGGCTGTGTTTATGTCAAATGCTGTTCTGCTATTCCTGAATTACAAAAGGGAAGATGGCATACTGAGGCATGTCCCGCTCCCCGCTTCCTGTCATGGCCTGAACCAGTCTTTCACATTAAATCTGGAGGGCCCTGGTCCAGGATGAGTCCATTTAGAAGGTTGAAGGACAAGTGGGAGGACTTCAAATTTTATTTTTGGTTTACAACCTCCAGACCAACAATTCCCCCTTCCCATTATAAAATAAGATCCATCCACAATCTGATTCATCCATAAATTATTTTGATTTTGCCTTCTTCTCTATTAAGTAACAAAAATGATATTTTTAAAACAAATATTGTAACCACCCAAGGGGTTCTTCTTGCCCACTGTATGTAAAATGAAGACCATGGCACTGCAGTAGGAAAGAGTTTAATAAACATAAGGCTGGTCAAGCCATGTCGGAGATGGAGCTAGTACTCAAATCATCTCTTCCAAATCTCTTAGGTTAGGTGTTTTTCAAACTCAGTTTGGGGAAAGGGGTGGGGGTGGCTAGGCTTGCTACTGATTGGTTAGGGCAGAGATGAAATCATAGTGGGTCAAAGCTGTCCTTCTGTGGGCTGAATCGCTTCTAGGTGGGGCCATGAGATCAGAGTTGGTGGGTCCAGGTGGAGCCATGGGTGTGAGACAAGCAAAAAACCTGAAAGACATCTCAAAAGGCCAATCTACAATCGTGTCTTGTCTGCAGGAATAACTGGGGAAGTTGCATATCTTATAGCCTCTGGAATAATGGCTGACAATCTTTCCTGCCTGTGCCTTAGCAGGACTCAGGTTCCTCTCCTATCCCCAGCCTGATGGCCTCCTATTTGCTTTAAAAAAGCTGGTGAGTTTTGGGCAAAGCCTATTTGTCATTTAAACTATAGCCTAACTGTCTTCCAAAGTTAGCTCAGCCCAGTAGCCCAGGATTAATTAAGGGAAAGGCAAGATGTGGGGTGCCTATGTGGGGTTAGCTCAAATCTCATTCACGGTCATAATTTTCTCAGTGACATAATTTTTGCAATGGCAGTTTTAATAAGGACATGCCTGAAGCATAGTAAGAGCCACATTCCTTGCAAAGTCTAGCTCATCCTGGTGTGTCTTATAATAGGACTGCTATTAATATTACACTGACTGCTTTCTCTCGGCTCCACCTTGCTCAGCCACAGCCTTCCTCACTTGGACACTCGGGACATGCCCAGGGTCTTCGGTTTGCTTTTTCTTCAGACTATCTTGTTCTTCCCCGTTGGTATTTCAATTGCTATTTTCTCACTTCCTTCAGGCCATTATTCAAATGCTGCTTCTCAGGCCTTGCCTGGCTACCGTTTCTACAATTGCCACATCCCAAACTCTGCACATTCCATCCCTCTTCTTCCCTTGATTTATTAGCCAATATACTGAATTCTCCATACTTAAATGTTTTGTCACCTAGAATAGTTTTTTTTTTTTTTTGAGGGATTGGATTTTTGTCTCTGCATTCAGTGTGGTAACTCTGGTACCAAAGACAGTTTCTGGCACTTAGGAAATATTGCATCAATTTCTTCAATGAATGAACATAACCTGAAGGATGGAGGGGTTGGGAAAACTGAACTTTGTTTCAGGATCTCAGCGACCTAGGTGAAGGTGGCAGAGCAGCCAAGATCTGTTGCTATTTGTTCTATATGTGGTTTCCTGGTTTCTTGTTTTCTATCTGGGACTGACTATTGATGTTTCATATTTTTTTCTTTCCACTGTTGAATATTATGTGTGTTTAGGGGAGGCTTAGATTTATTTTGGATAAAAAAATAGCCAGGATTATTTGCTATGGAGCCACTGTCTCACAGGCTGAATTATGTGGGCCAGAGAGAAAAGGGAGCTGGCTTTGCTGTCCTTCATCTTTCCTATTTCCCTACCCAGCTTCTGTCACCATCTACTCAAAATAGATGCTAATCTGAGCAATGTCAGAGCTTCCTCCATGAAACTCAATGAAATGATTTTAATAATGAGATCAATGGCAGGCTTCAGAAGAGAAGGTGCATATATTCTTGATACTGTTAACCAAGTTTAGCCTAAAGCTGCCTGGTATGGTTAGGCTTTGTGTCCTCACCCAAATCTCATCCCAAATTGTAATCCCCATAATCCCCGCATGTCAATGCTGGGACTAGGTGGAGGTAATTGAATCACGGGGTGGTTCCCCCCTGGTGTTCTTGTGATAGTGAGTGAGTTCTCATGAGATCTGATTAAGCGTCTGGCATTTTCCTTGCTTGAACTCATTCTCTGTCCTGCTGCCCTGTGGAGAGATGCCTTCTGCCATGATTGCAAGTTTCCTGAGGCCTCCCCAGCCAGGTGGAACTGTGAGTCAATTAAACCTCTTTTCTTAGAAATTACCCAGTCTCTGGTATTTCTTCATAGCAGCATGAAAACAGACTAATACACTGCCTCCTTACGCATTTCAGCCTAAAGGTTTCTCTGTACATTGTGAATTATAACCCAAATGGAGTTGTGTATTAGTCTGTTTTCATGCTGATGATAAAGACATACCCAAGCCTGGGTAATTTATAAAGAAAAAGAGATTTAATGGTAGTCACAGTTCCATGTGGCTGGGGAGGCCTCATACTCATGGTGGAAGGCAAAAGGCACATCTTACATGGTGACAAATAAGACAGAATGAGAGAGCCAAGCAAAAAGGAAAACCTCTTACAAAATAATCACATCTTATGAGACTTATTCATTATCATGAGAACAGTATGGGAAAAACCACCCTCATGATTCAATTATCTCCCACCAGGTCCCTCCCACAACAAGTAGAAATTATGGGAGCTACAATTCAAGATGAGATTTGGGTGAGGACACAGCCAAACCATATCAAGTTGTAAATAGACTGTAGCAGCTCTTGTGCCAATCATTGAGTTTTGACCAATCAAAGGTAGCCAACTGTTCCAACTGTGTTCAAATAAGGCAAATGCTGAGCTGTAGCCAATCTGGCTGTTTCTGTACCTCACTTCCGTTTTCTATATATCACTTTCCTTTTTCTGTCCATAAATCTTCTTCTGTCACGTGACTTTGCTAGAGTCTTTGAACCTACTCTGGCTTGGGAGGCTGCCCGATTCACGAATTGATCTTTGCTCAATTAAACTCTCTTAAATTTAATTCAGCCAAAGTTTTTCTCTTAATAATTTATTCTTTCAATCTGGTATAAACAATTATAAAAATAATAGCAACCATAAATCAGAACATAGTGTTTACCAAGAATCAGGCACTTGTCTGTTTAACATACATTTAGCATACTTTTTAAGGTTCATGACAATCCTATAGGGTATGTACTATTTTTATTCACATTTTATACATTATTAAAATAAAAGCTTTAGCCAAATTAAATTTAAAAGTTTTAATTGGGCAATAATGATTTGTGAATTATTTTGAGTTTGAGAGGATGACCAAAACTGTAGTCATTGATGTCACTATCATCATTGTAAATGTACTTATTTCATCTTGAAACTCAATGGGAAATAGCAGAACAGTGTGTTTTGCAGGTGGAAACAAGGACTTTAGATTGTTTTTTGCAAGAGTTGTGTAGAGGGTACCTCCTTATCCTGAAATGTCCTGTGTACAGGAAAAAACAAAACCTGATCTGTTCTAGGATCTATGTGTTTCCTTAAAGTCTTAGTTTGATTATGTCACATTCAGCATAAGTGACTTCATTTTATTTTGGTCTGTTCTGCTGGGGCCTAGTGCATGAGCTCAGACCAAAACAATGGCCTCCCCTGAAAGTGCCCCATTCTGGTCAGGTTCTTACTTAGGTGAGAGTGTGACCAAAATTTAGGGCCTCAGCACCACTCTCAGTTACCATCATTTTGAGTTTCTGATCTCAGCATGTAATTCAGAGGTTATGGTGCGCTTATGTTCACACATTTCTTTCAGCTCTTGTTATTCCAATTGAAGAGAGACCATTTGACTTCTAGAGATAGCTGCCTGCAAACATTTAAAATTTTGCAAGAATACAGTGTACCAGGGAGACTACTATGATGACTATCAGGAGAATAACACCAAGAGTTTGCAGTATGTTCCTTAGCCAGGGTCCCCTTAAACCAAACCAACTAAAATCAAATAGATCAAAGAATGAGCTAGACAAAGAGTCTACTCACTTCAATTAAGTAGTCTCTTCGATAATCCCTTATAACTGATTCTTTATACTATCCCATGTGATAAGTTTCTCCATGGGCAACAAGAAGTGCCAGATACTTCTCTGTTTAGCCAGTAAGTAACTTAGAGCAATTCTATTATTTAGCATAACTTTCACAAGATAATTTCAAGTCTGTTGTGTAGTCACAGCCTTTATAGTAGGATCTCCTACAGAGCCTATCATGAGGGATAAATTGCCTCATTTACTCCAATACATGGAAAAAAGGACCTAACGAATGAAGCCCTTCTAGAAGGGTGAAGATCATCTGGCAATATTCTCTTTAACACATGATGTAGGTTAAGAGGAGTGGACCAATGTTCTGTTTCTGACTGACTATGAGGTTATGTATGTACCATTAAAATTTCTCACATACATTGGGTCTTTATCTTCCATCTATCAAGGTTTAAGGTTATCCATGTATAAGACTGGCTGCAAAATCCTTCACAAATAAAATTGTAACCCTATGAGTGCACACAACAGATCCCCTTTTCACTTCTATTGTTCATAGAGGCATAAACATAGGAAAAAAATGGATAGATAAGGAAAAAAATTGAAAGATAGGGGTTGTATGATAGTAGAGAAGTCTTGCTCCATGATCTTCAGAAAAAGTTGTTCACATCATGGATGCCATCTTCTTTCGGGGAGAAACTTCCCTGATTAGCTTTACCTGAAGGTTTCCAATAGGTATGCAGTTCCAACAGTGCGGAGGGACCCTACTGAGTTGTGAGATTATGAACGCAAGGTTAAAAGTCCCAAAGTTTTGCTTCAACGTGGATAGCCAGGGCAGTCTTTCTGATGTTCTCAGAAGAGCCAGTCTTTGGGTTCTAGATGGAGAAGTGGTTGATTGTTCTCAGTCAGTGAACCATGAAAAACTTTCTTTACCTGGTGAAAATACACTGTGGCATAATGAGCTACTATTATAACTTCAGCCCTCTTTCATGGGAAAGCTTTTATACAACCAGAAAACATGCATTGAAAATGACAATTGAACAAAATCACTCTTTAAATGTTTAAATGGCCCATCAGGTAGCAGAATTCACCTGAAGTTTTGATTTTCTTCTCAGGAATATGGGTTTGACAAACCAAACTTTGGTCATAAACTATTTTAGCAATTTAGAAGTCTGAACTCCAAATATCTGAGATAGATCTCAGTCAATTTAGGAATTTCATTTCACCATAGTTAAGGATTCACATGTGTCCAGAGGAGGTTCTGATGACATGTGCCCAAGGTGGTCGGGTCACAGCTTGGTTTTACACATTTTAGGGAGACATGAGACATCAATCAATATATGTAAGTTGTACATTGATTCCGTCCAGAAAGGTGGGGACAACTTGAAGTGGAGAGGGGGTTTCCAGGTCATAGGTAGGTAAGAGACAAATGGTTGCATATGTTTGAGTTTCTGATGAGCCTTTCCAAAGGAGGCAATCAGATATGCATTTATCTCAGTGAGCAGAGGGGTGACTTTGCGTTCTGCCTGTCCTTTGTCAACAAGAAAATTCCTTGTGAGGGAGGTATGTAGCTTTTTCATCTTAGTAGTTTTTTTGTTTGTTTGTTTGTTTGTTTGTGTTTTTGGAATAGAACGGGAAGCAGGTTTACCCTAAACAGTTTCCAGCTTGACTTTTCCCTTTGGTATAGTTATCTGGTGTTTCAAGATTTATTTTCCTTTTACAGAAGTCACCACACCAATATATATACTTAAGTTGGATTATTTTATATTTCTATGATGAGCCATAAAATGCATAACTTTTAATAACAAAAGCTCTAAGGACTCAGGAAAGACAAGGCGGCCAACCTGATTTTCTATGAGCCCATGCTTAACATTGGACTTATATTCTCTTGAATAACAGTTGTTTCTCCAATTTAGGTGGATAGCACTGATAACTGATGAATTAGCATAGGTAATTTGACTTAAATCATGGAGTTTATTCAAATTGTATATGTTTAGCATGGAAATCTGGCAAAGTGTTTTATTGTTATTCAGTTAAATTTGTCCTGCTTGGTTTAACCCAAGCAGTCTCTAGGGTTCTAAATTGAGAAGTGGTTGATTGTTCTCAGTCAGTGAACCATGAAAAACTTTCTTTACCTGGTGAAAATACACTATGGCATAATGAGCTACTATTATAAAGTTCCAGGAATTCTTACCCAGGCCAAACGATATGATTCTAAAGTTATTAGAAACCTTTACTGAAGAGTGCTTCTCAGGGTAATTTCATCCTTTCATTAACCTCCTTAAAGACATTATATGCTAGGATTTTGCATGCTTGTGAAGTTTTCAGAAACTGCATCAGAATTAAGTTATAAACTATGGAAATGACTGTAAATAATAAGTTAAAGACACAGTTGACAAGGAAATTTGGTTATTTTTGTGGTCTACAATGACAACATGCTAACATGATTATGATTGTTAGCATATAGTGAGACATATTAGAAGTTTAGAAATCCCATACAATTTTGGAACATATATTAATAACAATCATCAAAATATAACCTGACATACTTCTCAAATATGTCAAAGGTTTAAAACATTTGACCAAAATAGGATCACAGGTTACTGTAAAACAATAGTCATTTATTTAGTCAAAGTGATAATTGATTTTTTTAAACAAAAACTTGTATTCTTTGATAAGGGAGACTCAAACAGTTTTCCAAACAATCAAAAGACCTTTTGATTTTTCCTTTTTATCTTTTTTCTTTTTGCAATTTACACAAAAGGTTAATAAAAATATTTTACTCTTATTAACACTACCCACAATTTTTATTCAAAAGAGAAAATCAAGTTTTACTTTTGTATTAGTATATTATTAATACTAAAACTAATTTTAATACAACCTAATTAATTCATTTATCAAAGCTGTCATCTTTTAACTGCACAAGATTTCCATAAACCTTTTGTTTTACAGTTTTATCCAAATTTTTATATTCACCTTGCTTTATATGTTTTTTCACTCCTTCAGTTTGAAACCTTTAAGTTACTTCAAAACAGACAAAATTTTTAACACACACTTTTATGCCTTCATAACTTTCCTCTTCAAACACATATCTTGCTTTTGTTTATACACTTTGTATACAAAATTGTTTCTCTCATATCTGGTAGTGTTACAGGAAAGTGGTCTTGATCTAGACCCCAAGAGAGGGTTCTTGGATCTCATGCAAGAAATAATTCAGGCCAAGTCCATACAGTAAAGTGAAAGCAAATTTATTAGGAAAATAAAGGAATAAAAGAATGACTACTCCTCAGACAGATCAGACCTGAGGTCTGCTGGTAGCCCATTTTTATGCTTATTTCTTGATATGCTAAACAGGGGATGGATTATTCATGCTTCTCCTTTTAGACCATATAAGGTAACTTCCTGATGTTGCTATGGCATTTATAAGCTGTCATGGCACTGATGGGAGTGTGGCAGTGAGGGCAACCAGAGGTTACTCTCATCACCATCTTGGTTTTGATGGGTTTTAGCCAGCTTCTTTACTGTAACCTGTTTTATCAGCAAGGTCTTTATGACCTGTATCTTGTGCCAACCTCCTGTTTCATCATGTGACTTAGAATGCCTTAACTGTCTGGGAATGCAGCCCAGTAGGTCTCAGCCTTATTTTACCAAGCCCCTCCTCAAGATGGAGTTGCCCTGGCTCAAATGCTTCTGACATTTCCCTGTTCTCTTTTATAAGAGAACCCTTAATCCTAAGAGTTGCAGAAGGATGAAGATCCATCTTCTGTAACTTTCTCAGGCTGAATAAGGGTGATGATATTCCTGTCTATCTATTAGGGGTATTCTATTCCTGCCTCTCATATGTGGAGTAGTGAGGAGCTCAGTCACAAGTCATCAGTATGGTGAGGGCCATTCAAAATCCAAGTTTCAACAAAAGGCACTATTTGAAAGATTAATAAGTGTTCAATTTAAGAAAATATTCAGTAAGCTTATTCTGCATTTTTACACAAAGAGTACAACAGCAATATATTTTACAACAGTAAAACAAAATAAGTAAAATTATCTCAAGTAAACTAAATTAGAAGGCTTTCCATGAATTGGCAACTGTTGGAACCAAGCTGATATGGGGTTGCTAGCTGATTCTAGTGTGCCCAGAATTAGAATATTGATTTAGATTTTTACATTACCCATCTCTCTTGTTTCTTCTGAGCAGGAGTCAGAGATCACTGGTTAGTTCATAGGAATAACCAGGATTAGCCTAAATTGCAGAAACAAACTTAAAAACAACTGATGAGACTAGAATTTAATAACAGGCATACCATAGTTCTTGAAACATAATATTTTTCTCTCCAGTTTCCCATTTTCACTAAAGACAAATCGTGGTAAAACTGATTTGCTTTTTTATACTTGGCCTGATTATTTGTTCCATAAGGAATCTCAGATAAGACTTTTTTTTAGAGCTGAGCCCTGCCATGGGTTTGAACCCTCAAATACCTATGACTTGAGTAAATCCCTCTCCTTTTGGGGTTCCAAGATAACTTGGGGGCTCCTGGGGCTATTAGAAAGTGACATTCTTTACTTACCACAGGGCAGAAACCCTGTACAGGGACTGTGTAGGCAAAGCCTGAGGCCGGTTCCTCAAGGGGCTTTCATTGGCTCCACAAGTCAAATTTGATTCCTTAAAGGAAAGCATGCTATTCCAGTTAAAGCCTCCATAAAATAACCAGTTTCTCCAATTTTGTCCTGATGGAAAATAAAACAGATTTGTATTGCACTTATGCAAATAATTATATTGCCATAAATTAAGAATACTCACAAATAGTTTCCAAATTTTGGGGAAATTAGGTAGAGAGAAACAAATATGCTTCAAATTTGGTTCACAGGCATATATTCAATTGTTAAAAGCTATAAATAGCTTCCATTACTTCAGTCCATGCAGTTCTGTTTGATATTCATGAACATTTCAGCTATGAGAGTTCTGAAAGTTTTCTCTATTCTAATGTCACAATCTCCAAAGTTATCAGAAAATCTCCATTTAAATGCACCTGTTAAAGTCCTATAGTTGATTATAAAACCACCTTTTAAAGAGGACCAAAACAAGACAACAATTGTATGTGGATTATAAAAAGTCTTAGGACAGCCACTATTAAAGCCACAAGTGATAAGGAAATTTGGTTATTTTTGTGGCATACAAAAATTTATATAATGATTATAATTATTAATAACATATACTGTCATATCAGAATTATAGGAGTTTCCCATTATTTTGGATTACATACCAAAAACATATTTATTCAAATATAGCCCAAAGAAAGCCAAACACCATTTCATATTTGGCAGTACTTCCTGCATGATTTTTGTACCCAATAAGCCAAATTTCACCTTTACATTAATGTACTATTTATGTTAAACCCAAATCTTAATAAAACCTTATAGACAAATGTATTTAATCTTAATCAGTTTGACCATGAGGTAAGATTTTAATAAACCTTTTATAACCATTTAAAAATTTTGGTTAAACAGCAGATTATAAGCAGGTTTTTGCTCTAAGAAAAACCTGTTGTGCTTTTATTCCAATGTTCAATTTATCAAAAAACTGAATATCATCCCTTTAATTTTAGTCAATATGTTCACACAGATAATTTCTTCTATGAGATTGATATTTCACAGACCTTTAACAACTTGCTTAACCCTTCAGCTTTATCCTAACTTAAAACAGTCCTTTAACTCTCTAAACTTAGGGAAGAAATCCATATTCCCATGCCTTCTTATAATCTTTTATCAAATGTACATTCTACTTTCCTTACACACCTTGAACATAAAGCTGTTTCTTCAGTAGTCTCAATTACATGTTATAATGTCAACTCTTTTTTTTTTTTTTCAGACAGAGTCTTGCTTTGTTGCCAGGCTGGAGTGCATACAATGTTAACTCTTAGCAACTTTTATTTTTGGTGAAAAACCTGGTTAGTAAGTGATTTGAACTATGTACCAGGTGTGGAGCCTAGGACCCAGACAGAAGTGCAGATAAGATCCGACTCTTTCCAGCATAGCTAGTGAGTGTGGCTAGCTCCACATGGTTCTAGGGCTTATCTAGAATCCAAAGCTCCAAAGTAGGTAAAATGAACAATTTTCAAAAGTCAAAGAAGCAGTTTATGACCTTAAATCACTTAGAAAACCTAATATCTGACCCACATAATTTAGACCAAATGTTTACATTTTAAAGATTTTTATTTTACCAATAATCTTTAAAACTGTCTTTATATCCCAAAGATTACTTAAATCATGTGAACTAAATAAAAGATATTACACGTTTTACTTTTCTGATCAAGTATTTGATGTAAGCTCTTATTATTAAACCATTTAATTAAAGCTCTTTTAAATTACACACACAACATATATAAATACACAGACAAAATAAGATAAAGGACTCATTCCCTAAGCCAGGAATTGAACCCTGAACCTGGGCCACCACTGTGAAAAGAGAAAGTATCACTACATGGCTGCAAGGTCAGGCTCCCCAAGATATACAAGACAAGAGGGAAATCTCATCCAGTTTTGTTTTTAGGGACCTGCCGCAAAATTTATAACTGACCAGTTTGCTGGGCCATCTTGAACAGTGGGCTTACTGGTGTCCTAAGCCCATGTTCCATCCTACCATACCGCTCTTTATGGCAGAACAATACAGAAAGACACACAAAGCACGCCAGATTCACTATAGCTTAGGACTAGCCTCACAAATCCTGTTTTCCATTAATCTAAACTTTACAGAGGAGATAAACAATGCTTTTTACCATTCATTCAACCAGTTTGCACAGAGAGAGAGAGAGAAAGAAAGAGAGAGAGAGAGACAGAGAGAGAGAGGAAGCATTGCTTGAGGCAGGGTGGGGAAGGTGAGGTGCTCAGGGAAGCCAGAGAAAGATGCACCCATTGCAGTGACACTGAAAATTTCAGGCGGCTGCTTGTCAGTAGCAAAGGGCTATTTTCCAGCAGTCTCACGAGCTCTTGAGTTTCCCCTTTTAAGGAGGAGAAAGCTCCCCATGTCCCACAATTCTATACATGCCCACAGACGTCAGCAAAGAGTTCAAGGCTGATTAATCCAAAGAGAATAGCAGTTAACATCTCATAATACCAAACCCATTCTTAGCCAAAAGGGACTTTACTGAAACAGGCTTCTAACTCCTTAAATCTTCAGAGGGACTCTAACCCTCCTAAGCTGGGCCTTTAACCCAAGGTGGGTAAAGTGTCCTTGCCTTTTATCAAGTGTGCGCTAACCCACTCTGTCTTAGGAGAGACTCTGACTCCCCTAAGTTTGGCCTCTAACCCAATTCCACCCTTTACCTGGGTACCCCACCACTTACCCAAAGTTGGCCAATCAGTGCTGTAGTCTATTTCCTTTGGGTCAGGGGGTTTCTTCAGTATTGTCCCCTCAGTGTTCACCAGAAAGATATTACTGGCCCCTACCACTTACCAGTTATCTTTTGGGTGGGGGTTTTCTGCACTATAGTCCCTTTAGTGGTCACCAGAAAGATGCTACAGGAAAGGAGTCCCAATCCAGGACCCAACAGAGGGTTATTGGGGTAACTTCCTGATGTTGCCATGGCATTTGTAAACTGTCATGGTGCTAATGGGAGTGTAGCAGTGAGGACAACCAGAGATCACTCTCATCACCATCTTGGTTTTGGTGGGTCTTAGCTTCTTTACTGCAAGCTGTTTTATCAGCAAGGTCTTTAAGACCTGTATCTTGTGCCAACCTCTTTCTCATCCTGTGACTGAGAATGACTTAATTTTCTGGGAATGCAGCCCAGTAGGTCTTAGCCTCATTTTACGAAGCCCTTATTCAAGATGGATTTGCTCAGGTTCAAACACTTCTGACAGTAGTTTTTAACTGTTAGTAACCCTTATTTCTAGTGAAAACTCTAGAAAGTAATTTTGAACTGTTTCATATCAGTTATTTGTAGATAAAAAGCATTTTATAATTTTTTAGAGAGATAGTTCTTCAAATTATTTTTTATTATCAGATCTAAATATATTTACTTTTCTATACTATATAGAAATAATATGTCAAGGTATATAGACTTAAATGCATGTGTAATAATGAATATTTCAGTATCTTAACTTGAACACGACTCATTTTGTGAATTTTTTTATTACTTAATTAAACATAACATGACTCTAGGATTTTAAATTACTGAAAAGAATTTTGAAGCTATGACACAGGCAGCCTCCCTAATGTCTCTTCCCAGTCATTCTAAGTCCCAAGAAGCCATGTGCCCCCCATGAGGACTATGAACATCGGGGCCTGAGTCCATCAGGACAGAAGCCAGAGCTGTGAAGACTATACTTGGAGGATCCAACCGCTCCCACAATAGCCAGGAGGCAAAACAGGGAAAGCAGAGGAGGAAGAGGCCATATTGGGCTTGTAGCTGGTGGTCTAGACTCTAAGAACGTGTCTCCAGATGTCATCATGGCCACCTATCCAGACCCCTGAATCCAGAGACTCTAAACCAAAGACATAAGCTCACAGTCAAATCAAGTGGGTATCTAATTATATTCAACTGATAATTTTGAAGACATTTCTATTTTACCAATAAATTAAAAACTATCTTTATTTACCAGATATCACATACACATAACACATATAGACATACAAACAAACAGAAGCAGATCTTATAGCTTTTGCCAGTTTTAAAATACTTTTTTCTTTTCTCCATTTGGTGTATCAATCTTTCTATTACCTGTTTCATTTCCCTAAGCAATTGTTAACTCAGCAACAAATTTGCATTTCTAAAGGGACAACTCTTAGGTGTAACAAAAAGGATGTATATTTCATAAGCACAGAGCTAAGATTCTCAGCCTAAGTATTGATTCATTATTTGTTCAAATCAAGGAGAAAAAAAAATTGCTCAAGTAAAAGTTCACTTAAGATAGAAAAGCACCTTAAACAAAGGCATTACTTATTATTTAAATTTAAAAGAATGGTTAGAGTTTCTATTGTATGTAGGCAGACATCCTTAAAAATTGAGATTTCTTTTATAGATGGAAATTTCTTATACAAAAGAGTTTCAAAGTAGCCAATTAAATTCCAGAAAGGTGCATTTTATTTCAATAGGGTGTTCTTTTTAATGTAGCCACTGTCTCTTGGTTAAAATTACTGAGTTCAAGGGGGAACTCATTATGGAACAGAGCCAAGAAAGCATCCTCTATGCCTGGCCTCCCGCATGGATAGGTCTGAACAAGAAGCAAGTCTATTTTACCTGAGGGCTTAACTTTTATAAATACCTTATCTAGGATAGCTTTCTTTCTACCTTTAGGGTGGAATAGTAACTAAGCAAAGATTAACAGATTTAATTTTTCTTATCAATTAGTTTCTTAAGCTTTTTATTTGCCTTTCATAAAATCTTTAAATAAAAATATTGAAATCTTTTTAGAAGCTTCTGAATATCAATAGACATCCCTAGATGAGACTAATTTGGGAGCCCTATTTTTCAAATGCATTTCTTCAGTGCAGTGTTGTTTATTTGGAACCTTCCATGATAACTTATCTTTAGTAAGATTTCACCATTTCTGTTAAGACTTTGCTGTTTCTGTGGCCTAATACTTATGCATTGTGAAAGGAAAATAAATATTGGGGCCCCAAAATTACTAAGCTAAAGGGAAGAGTGAAGCTGGGAACTGCTTAGTCCAAACCTGCCTCCCATTATCTGAAGCTCACTAAGATAAATGCATATCTGATTGCCTCCTTTAGAGAGGCTCATCAGAAACTCAAAAGAATGCAACCATCTGTTTCTTATCTGTATATGACCTGGAAGCTCCCTCCTGGCTTTCCAGACCTAACCAATGGTCATCTTACATATGTTGATTGATGTCTCATGTCTCCCTAAAATGTGTAAAACCAAACTGTGCTCTGACCACCTTGGGCACATGTCTGGTCAGGACCTCCTGAGGCAAGTTTATTGGATAGGGCTGTTAACCTTTGTAGCGCTTTTGCTATAGTTCCATCAAGGGCAGTATTATTAGGAAAAAAGGTACAATATTGAGTTTTGTATAAGACATTTAATTTATTGGTCTTTGTGGGGAATTAGACGCATCACCACTGTGTTACAATTGAGCCATTAATTTTGTAGCTTTATTAACTGGTTTGCTTTCATGACACTGCCGAGGAATCAATTTTTTTCTGCAGAGGTTCCAAGATTGAGTTTTAATTACGACACAAACATCTCCTTTTTCTGCTAATATTATATTTAAAGCTATTTTTTAAAATTTATTTTTCTAGGCCATCTGGCTGGTAGATCCTAACTGCTTAGCCATCTCTTTGATGGTGTCCTCAGTGTAATTTATGAATTATTGCTGATTGTAATAGATATAGTTTATTTAGTCTACTTTTTTTTAATACTTACCAGAATAACATGCATTTAAATTCTGCAGCTGTTTCATTTTGTGCTTTAAACTTATTTGGCACTTCTCACAGGACCTTAATAGCATTTATGTAAACCTGAGGATTAAAAGACTTATAAAGAGTTTTTCTTGGCCTGTGGTGTTTTGTTTTTACCTTTTTAGATTGATGAAATGCCAGGGTGAAGGGGATAGCCAATTGGATTAGAGCACAAGTACTGCTCCAATTATTTGGCAGAGTGTCCAGTAAAGGTCTTCCACAGTACCACCATAAATGTGTGTGGGGAGGACGGATGGGCAAGCTCTTGGAAAGGCTTAAGCTCCTTGCATCCTTTTATGCTTCCAAGGAACACTAAATTTTACCCCTGCCGTGAGAGGCATGAAGTAAACTTGGCATTCAGAAGTGGAAGCTGGATTGCCCTCAGGGGTTGACCCGCAGGGTGTTGAATTTCAGGATATAGCAGAGAGAGCTCAGTATGTTGGATTATCCCAAGCTGTGGGATTTTGAAAAACAGCCACCATACAGTCCATATCTGGTCGACAAGGAGACCATCGGAGTGGAAAGGGGATAATCTGGGCCTCAGGCCTACGGTGTGTACAAGTATAATAATCGCTTTTATTTAAAGTGCGAATGGATTATTTAGTCCATTTCAGCCAGGCATTTGCATCTTGATATTTTGTCTTGATGGCTAAGGTCTGTTTTAGATCTCTTATTTTTACAATAGACACCCTAGCTTTATTAGATGTAGGAGCAACTGTTGTGGGATCTAGATCTGAGGCTACCGAAGAAGGGGAAGATGGCGGAATAATATATATTTTTAAAATACCTGGGGTCGGGGAGTCTTTTCTATTTATGTCAATTCTTATACCATAGAAGTGACTAAGGGCAGGTCTAGAGTTAGTTAAGGTGGAAGGGGTGATAAAGAGAAGGACAGGGTTATATAGATAAGGCTGACAGTTAGAAGGGGTAGTCCTTTTAGTGAAATAGATGAGGGGTTTTAGATCTGCAGAAACCTTTTCGTGGAAATCCAGCTTTGCTCCTGGGTAGTTTAAGGGATGTAGTCCCATTTACTACAAGGTTGCCAGGCGGTAGGAGCAGAAGATCAGCGTCTTGGCTGCAGGTCATTACAACAATGAGTGCTAGGGGTAACTGTGTCAACTAGAGTGCTGGGGCATAAATATTTGTGTGAAAAGGCTAGTTGTTGTTGATCTTTTACATTTCCTCAAGGTATGACAGAGCAAGTATTAAAGGCAATAGGTGAGTCAGACTTAGGTGAGTCAGACTTAGTTATATTATTAATAAAGGAGCTAGTAACAGAATAAGGAAAGGAAAGGAAGAAATATAGAACGTATATGAAAATTAATCTTTCTTTAACGTTAACTTAGTAGGGCTTGATCTTAGTACAGTAACCCATGATTCTGAGAGGAAGATGTTTTCTTGACTTGAGTATGGTGGGTCCAATTTTTTTTTTTTCTCAGCTGTGCAGATGGCAGTCTCAGTGGTTAACAGCATAAAATAGGGTTCTTCCCAGGCTGGCTTGAGTTTCTTCTTTCTAGCTTTTGATGAGGACGTGGTTTGCAGGCTGGTGCTGATGTACGGGAAATTCTAGGGGTGGTACCTGTGCTGAAAGACTTCTAGTTTCGAGGGAAGGGAAAGTGGAAGATAAATTAAGTATATAATTTCTGCTGCATATACTGGGGCTTGAGGCCTCATGGTGATGCCTACTGCTCCATTCCTGCTCAGCACCACCCAGGGGACTCTGTGGCCCTGCCCCGTCTTAATGTCTTGGCCTTCTTGTGGCCTTTACCGCCCCTGCGCATTGTGGCCTTGGGGATGAGGGGCCTTGTGACTTACCTGGCTGCCTTCAGGCCTTAAGAAAGCTAAACACCATTTTATGTTTGGCAATGTTTTTGTATGATTTTATACTAGATAAGTTAAATTTTACCTTTATATTAATGTGCTATTAATGTTAAACTTAATTATAATAAAATCTTGTAGACATTATCCAGTTTTAATGTCTGACTATAAGGTAAAACTTTTATAGACTTTTTTTAACTTTTTGTAATTTTTGTTAAAGAGCAGTTTAGTGCTTTAAGAAAAATATATTGTGCTTTTATTTTAATGTCCAGTTCACAGAAAAACTGGATGATACCCATTTAACTTTAGCCAATATGTTTACACACAGAATTTCCTTTACAATTAACATTTTAAAACTTGCTTAAACCTTTAAAACAAAATTTTTTTTAAACTTTAATGTAGGTAAAAATCCATATTCTTATGCCTCCTTATAATCCTGTTATTAAAAGTATATTTTATTTTTCTTACATACCTTGTACATAAACTATTTTTTAATAATTTATATTCAGGAGGTGTAATTACTTTTAAATTATACAATATTTCTTGCATAAATTCCCTTTTATAGTTTTTCTTATGACTTTCACAGACAATCTTCAACATGTCTTAACTTTCTGCATTCTTTTTACACTATTTCTTTTCCTAGTTTCACCCTCTGTGTCTTTCTTTGATTTCTGTCTCTTCTGGTTTCTCTCTTACTTACTCTTTCCCTCTATTTCTCTCTCTCTCATTTGCACTCTATTTTCCTCTCTCTCTCTGTCATCCCGTTTCCCTTTCTTCTCCCAATTTCTATGGGCCCTGCCCCCGTGCACACACTGCCTTCTGTTTCTCTCTCTCTTTTTTTTTTCCCAATTCCCCTTTTTACTTTCTTTCCTTTCTTCTTACACTTAGTTTCTCGTGCTGGGTGCAAATTGCAAGAATTATGCCCATTCACCTCCTCTGCTCTCCTCCAGGTGCCTGTCCCCACCATCTTTTTCACATAGAGCTGGGCTGGGGAGAGATACTTAACCCTTGGTGTGCCTGCCTGGCTGTTTGGCTCTGTGCTTGCTGTTTTTGCTTTCTTTCTCTCTGACTTCCTCTCCTAGTTTCTTTTTCTTCTCTGCTGGTCTTTCCTTTGTCTCTGCCAGCCACCTATGCTGCTGTTTTCCCCTTTCCTTCCCCTTCCCCTTCCCCTAGGGGAAGGACTGGTGGGAGTGGAGCTACTCTTTCTTAACCCAAGAAGAAAGGAAAGGGGGCTTCTGAATATTTTTCTTACTACAGGAGTTTTGTGTGAGGTTCGACGCCCCCTCGTGGGGATTTCTCACCTCTTTCTGAGGTTCAACTCCCCCTCTGGGGATTTCTCACCTCTTTCTGAGGTTCAACTCCCCTCATGGGGATTTCTCACCTCTTCCTGAGGTTCAACCACCCCGCTGCCCAGGGATTTCTCACCTCTTTCTGAGGTTCAACCCCCCCTCATGGGGATTTCTCACCTCTTTCTGAGGTTCAACCCCCAACCTGGGGATTTCTCACCTCTTTCTGAGGTTCAACTCCCCTCATGGGGATTTCTCACCTCTTTCTGAGGTTCAACCACCCCGCTGCCCAGGGATTTCTCACCTCTTTCTGAGGTTCAACCAACCCCCTGCCCGGGGATTTCTCACCTCTTTCTGAGGTTTAACCCCCACCCCCAGGATTTCTCACCACTTTCTGAGGTTCAACCACCCCCCTAACCTGGGGATTTTTCACCTCTTTCTGAGGTTCAACCCCACTAGGGATTTCTCACTTCTTTCTGAGGTTCAACCCCTGCTGGGGATTTCTCATCTCTTTCTGAGGTTTAACTCCCCCTGGGGATTTCTCACCTATTTCTGAGGTTCACCCCCACCCCCGGGGATTTCTCACCTGTTTCTGAGGTTCAACTCCCCTCATGGGGATTTCTCACCTCTTTCTGAGGTTTAACCCCCACCCTGGGGATTTCTCACCTCTTTCGGAGGTTTAACCCCCGCCCCGGGGATTTCTCACCTCTTTCTGAGGTTCAACCTCCAACCCCCAGGGATTTCTCACATGTTTCTGAGGTTCAACACCCTCTGGGGATTTCTCACCTGTTTCTGAGGTTCAACTCCCCCTAGGGATTTCTCACCTCTTTCTGAGGTTTAACCCCCGTACCAGGGATTTCTCACCTCTTTCTGAGGTTTAACCCCCCCCCCCGCCCCCGGGGATTTCTCACCTCTTTCTGAGATTCAACCCCCACCCCCCGGGGATTTCTCACCTTTTCTGAGGTTCAACCCCCGCCCCCCTCCCCAGGGCTTTCTCACCTCTTTCTGAGGTTCAACCCCCACCCTGGGTATTTCTCACCTCTCTCTGAGGTTTAACCCCCCTCATGGGGATTTCTCACCTCTTTCTAACCTCCAAGACATCCTGACTAAGGAATACTTTACCACCCCTGCAGTTTCTCTCTCCTTGGTATGTCCTAACCAAGGAATGCTTTACCATCTGACCATCAAGGAAATACTTTACCAGCTCCTGCGGCTTCTCCTTCCTTGGTCTGTGCACAGAGTTGTCGCTGCAGTATGTGAAGATCCTTTAAGCTAGATTGCTGGCCAGTTTCTTTTTTATTTTTTTGCATTGCTGAGAGTCCGGGTTTATTCACCACACTGGGTGGGTCTCAATTTCTCATCCCTGAGGCACCTTCAATGAGGTAGGGGAGCATGCTCCCTCATGAGAGAGGACTGGAGACCACCCCTAGAGGAGAATGTATCCCTGTACGGATTGACACCAAATTGTTTGAAATGCTTGTTCCCCAGTGCCATAAAGAAATAGCACTTGAACATAAATTTATTTAGTAAGGCCATTTTTACTTCCTGCAGAAAGGGTACACTCACCAGCAGTTTTGCCATGAGAGTTCACCAAACAAAGGAGACAGGGTCATTTATAACCTGACATGTCCACCCTACTGCTGTGTCTGGTTTCTATTGGCTGGAATGGGACCTCACATTCTGTATTTGTCCCGATTGGCTAACAACTTAGAACTTTTTAAAAGAGGCAAAGGTAGAGGAAAACAAAGGAAGGAGGAAGTAACTTGTGGAATGCTGAGAAAGGTAAAAATACTTTTAAATAAGGAAGAGGAACTGGCTATGACCTAATGCTTGCTTGGATCAGTATAAGCATGTCAGGGCAAATATTTAGTCTAAATTGTGGGAGCTAAGAACACAAAGTACATTGATTTCTTTATTACGGCTAGCAGATATTTAAGAATGTTAGTACAGTTCTTTGAATAAATTTTGCTTCTAAGAGAAGTTACTATTTATTTCTAATTAGGCGGGGAGGAAAGTCTTTGAAGAGGAACCTCTACTTTACTTTTTTACAAATAGAAAGGAAATGTTTAGGCTAAGATAAAGGATTGTGTGGCCAGGTGCAGTGGCTCACACCTGTAATCCCAGCACTTTGGGAAGCTGAGGCGGGTGGATCACCTGAGGTCAGGAGTTCGACACTATCCTGACCAACATGGTGAACCCCCATCTCTACTGAAAATACAAAACTAGCTGGGCCTGGTGACACATACCTGTACTCCCAGCTACTTGGGAAGCTGAGGCAGGAGAATTGCTTGAACCTGGGAGGCGAAGGTTGCAGTGAGGCGAGATGGTGCCATTGCTCTTCAGTCTGGGCAACAAGAGCAAAACTCCGTCTCAAAAAAAAAAAAAAGTAAAGGATTGTGGAGACCAAGTTTTATTGGGCAGAGGGAGGTCTCGGATAGCCGACTTCAGAGAGAGCAGGTTGTGAAATGTTTCTTATCAGACCTAAAAGGATGCCTGGCTCTTAGTTGATTATTCCCTGGATCTGGAAAGGAAGGAAGGGGGAAAAAAAAAAAAGGCAGTGGAGGGGCGGTGGGAAGGGGATTCTCTGCAGAATGTGAATTTTTTTCCATGAGGGACAGCTTTGCAGGGCCATTTCAAGATATGGCAGAGAAACATGTTTTGGAGTAAAATATTTTGATTTTCTTCCTTGTTGTGCCAGAGTCAGATTGGAAAGTAAGTCACGATATACAGAGTTAAATAAACCCCATCTGATGAGAATTTATGGTTTGTAGAGCATGACTCCCTAGGCCCCTTAGATAGGAATTTGAGCGAGATAAAAAATATCAGAGTTTAGTCCTTGATGGGTCCAGTGGGTACCTTGCTTAGTCACTCAGCACTCATGGGGTCATTAGAGGATCTACTTTGGATCCCACTTCTGATGCCATCTATTAAATGAAAAAACTTCAACTGAATTAAATATAAGAGTTTAATTTAGCAAAGAATGATTTGTGAATCAGGCAGCCTCCTGAGCCAGAGTAGGCTCAGAGACTCCAGCACAGCCACCTGGTAGAAGATTTATGGACAGAAAAAAAGGAAAATGACATGCAGAAAACAGGTGTGAGGTACAGAAACAACCAAATTGGTTGCAGCTAAGCGGGCATTTGCCTTATTTGAACTTGAACATGGTTTGAACAGTTAGCCCTTGATTGGCTAAAACTTGGTGATTGGCATAAAAATAGGCTTCAGTCTGTTTACATCTTCATTGAGGTTATAGTTCACTATGTACAGAGAAACGTTTAGGCTGAACTTAAAATATGTAAAAAGCCAGCTTTAGTCTAAACTTGATTTAACAACATAAAGACTTGAGGCAAAGAGAATCCCATAACTTGCTCAAGATCACAGAGAAATGAGAAACTCAGAATAACCCTCAAGTTCTCTGGCTCCAGACTGGATGCTGTTAACCTCCCCTAGGCTCTCATGTTTATATTGCTTTGGGCCTATAACTTTTTTATGTGTGTGCATGAAATTGTGAACTTCTTTTCAGTGATAATCTTGTATTCTTATTTTATGACACTTTTTAGTTCATTAGGAATAGCTCTTGAGTACGGCCATACCACCCTGAACACGCCCGATCTTGTCTGATCTCGGAAGCTAAGCAGGGTTGGCCTGGTTAGTGCTTGGATGGGAGGAATAGATCTTGAATTTCATAAATAGCACTCAGACATCTATTTTTAGGCTTATTTGTAAATGTCTTGATAAAATGTCTGACTACTGTTACATACTAGGGAAAAATCTCACTTTTTTGTGTGTTATGCTTTTAAACATAGATTTTGTTTGCTAAAATGTTATTTAGAATTTTGCATGTATTTTTCACTGGCTTGCGATTTTTCTTTTTATATAACATCTTTTTTAAAGGGTCTTTATTAATATTACACTCAAGTTTTCTTCTGTTTTCTATGCTCTGAATTCAAGCAGTTAAAATCCATGGGAAAGAGTTTTCCTTGACATTTTTGAAGAACTATGCATGTAATATTATATTGATTATTAAATTGATTAAAGCCTGGTAAGACGATTAACTCATGATTCTTGGATAAATGCTATTTTCTCATTCCTCCATTTTTATCTATATGTAAGGCTCTTGGCTTTGCATTTGGTTTCTATCTCTTTGTTTGGTTAAGTTCATCTTGGTAAAACACTAGCTCTCTCAGCATTTGTTCTCAGTTCTGTGAGGTAGAGTTGATAAACTTTCTCAGTAGGACAGACACATCAAAGTATGAAAATGCACCTTTGAGGACAGAGCCAAATGCACCTCTGAGGGCAGAGCCAAAACTTTGGAAGGTGTCATCCCCAGACCAACACCATAGCTTTTTAGTTTTTTAATTTTTTATTTTTTAAAAAAGAGACCAGTCTTACAGGCAGAGAGGTTTTGGTTGATCTGGTAAATGGATGGATCCCACTGCCATATGTTCACTGTTGCACTTTTTTTTTGAGTTTGGGAACACATAAGCTGACTATATAATTTATTATCCAATTAGGGTACTCTAGAGAGTGAAAGGAGGCTTTAAAGAATAATTTAAATGATATAATTTAACAACATATTTATTTGCTGATCAAAAAAATTAGTTTTATTATATTGGTGGGCCTATAAAATATTTTTATGAAAACCAAATTTTAAAATCATTTTTTCAAAAAATTAATAAATCCATATACATTAAGCAACATTTTATAAATTCTGTAATATTGAGTATCTAAAAATATGATGTACAAATTTCAATATTGAAATTCATACTTGTGATGTGGAATATCTTAACTTGTGAGAATAATCACCTTATAGTGTTCCTACATTTAATTAAATCAATTTATATCCTGTATCAAAATTGAAGGAATATAAAAAATCTTTGAATTTTGTAGCACCTACATTTGGCAAAATAATCAAAATATAAATTATTATTTGGTGAGTTGTCTGATACACATGTTTGCTGAAGACAGGGTCTGTGAAACAAGACCAAAAGACAGATACTCTGGAAAAATTTAAGCTATAATATTTATATATTTATGTGACAAGTTTATAACTGACAATATTCTCTAATAGTAGTTGTTCTACACATTGCAATTCTAGCATATATGGTGACAATATAAAGTTATATACCTTTCTTCAAAGTCATGTTTTGTGGTTATAAAAGTTGGAATTATCAACTTTAAATGCCAACTATAAATGCCAATGGAAATATGAATCCATGAAAATATGATGTATCATGGCCCTGGCACTGCACCCTAATGGGAAAAATGGATCAGACAATAAATATTTCTGAAGCATGGGAAACAAATGTTGTCCTTATTTCACACCATACAGAAAAATTCTATGTGAATCAGAGACTTGAATGTGTAAAGCATATCTTAAACATTTTGAAGAAGATTTGGTGGGGTTAGCTCTATGATTTCAGAATAGGAAGATAATTCCTAAGCTATATATTTCTATTGATAGGCCATAAAGGAAAAGATTAATGCATTTTTTCTGAAGGAAAATATTAATAAAAGTGTCCATTTATCAAAGAATAATGAAAGTTTCCATTTATCAAAGAACAGCATAAAAGATTAAAAAGAGCAAACAGTGGGAGAAAGTACTTATGGCACAGCTTCTGATTATTAAGAGAATCATCCTACACTTCAATTAGAAAAACTCATTGTTATGAATAGAATATTCATTGTCTGGAATATGTAATTTCCAGACAGGGGAAATGCAGGGCATACTAAAAGCACGTGACAAAAGTCTGACAAATCTGAAAATGCTCAGGAAGCTGGGGAATGGACAATAGCCCTGCACTATGGAGGAAGCGTAAATTGATAGAGTGATTCTGAAGAGAAATCTGTCATTATTTAGTGAGTTTGATCATATGTATACCAGATGATGCAGCTATCCTATTTTATGACATATAACTCAAAAAAACTATCACAAATCCCCAGAGAGGCAGACATGAGTATATATTTATCAAATCATTAGTTAGTGGGCTCAGCAGACATTAGTGGGCTCAGCAGACAATCTAAATGGCTACCTGTATCCATTTGCTAGGGCAGCAATAACAGAGGGTCATAAACTGCATGGCTTCAATGACATAAGTTTATTGTCTCCCAGTTCTGGGAGGCTCGTCTCCATGACCTCCCGACTCTGATCACTTCCCCTGAACCTCTGCTCCACATTCCACCCTGCCCTGGCCCCTGACCCCTCCCGTCCCCATCCACATGGTCCTGCCGTGGGTGCTCAGTCTGGCGTCCATAGCTACCTTCCCAGGCCCATCACTTACACAAAGCCTATGCTTCAGCCAACTCGATCTCTTAATGGTCCCCATCAGAGGGTGCAGGGCCACACCATCCCCCGCCTTCCTGGTGCTTGTCAAGAGCTCTCTCAACTCCAAACCCAGCTCAGTTCCTGCCTCCTCCCTGAGCCTCCTCTAGCTGCCTCAACCTTAGGCACTGTTCTTTCCTCTGGATCTGGGTAGAGCATGCATTGATTATGCCACTTCGCAGTACCTCACTTGGGCTTTTTTTTTTTTTTTTTTTTTTTTTAAACATTATGTCCAGTTTCTTTGACTACACCTTAAATACTAAAGGGCAGGCACTGGATCTTGCAGCTATAAGTCATTGCTCAGATCTATCTAGGACACTTTCATTCACATGATCCTCAACAAACATTTACTGATAATCATGATGTTAAAAACTAGAGCAAAGAACAATAGCTGCTAATGTTTATGTCCGGTGTAAAAATAAATAACTTCCTTTTGGGGTATTTTTCTAAAGGGGACTCCAATAAAACTTAATGAGAAGCTGTTAGTGTGGCTTCAGATACTGTGAGCAAATATAGTTCCAAACCCTGACTCTATAAATTCCTCTTTTCTCTTAAATCATTAATAAATTTGTGAATAAATAACTTGCCATCTGAATTACAGATTCCTGTGTAGGTGCAACGACAATGGAAATACCTGCAGGTGAATTCTTTGTCCTCCTCACATTTTGCTGCACATTCTTCTATACTTCCTGCCCCCAGCTCCTTCTTAGTGACACTGAACACGAAGCCCCCTGGGTATTCACATAGTCATCCAGAGGCTCTCCTTGACCCAGAGGTGGGAGATCCAAATGGAACAAATGCTCAGTTAATCAAATGGTCAGTTAACCAAGTCTGATTGTCATGAGTTCTTTTTTTATCTATTTGGTTCATATTAGTCAAATAAAACTTTCTGCTTTACTGGAAGCAGAATGCATAGCTATGAATCAAGATATTTAATGAAGAAAACACTTCAAAACATGGACGTAAAGATGGCAACAAAAGACACACTGGCAACTACTAGAGCCGGGAGAGAGGGAGGAAGGCAGGGGCTGAAAAACTACCTGTGGGGTATGAAGCTCACTAGCTGGGTAATGAGATCATTTGTGCCTCAAACCTCAGTGTCACGCAATCTTCACAGGGTGAGAGGCCAAAAGAGGCTAATTTACTCATGTAACAAACCTGCTTATGTACCTCCAAATCTCAAAAGTTGAAATTATATAAAAAACTTTTCCATTCACAGATTTCAATATATTAAAAGATTAACTAGATTGATAAACAGGTTAGAATGATGTCACCACTCCTGTGTTACTATATTAATGAATACAGTGTTATCTGGAAGTGGAAGAATCCTCAGATCTTTGTCTTACTTCGGAGAAAGAATTCTGCTAAGTGACTAATTTAGCCAAAAAAGACAATTTATGGAAGGAAGATAGAGAGCAGAGAATTTACACAGAGAGACAGTATGCTCTGAAAGATAAGGCAGAGCAGGCTGTTGAAAGGGAGAGAGTCAACAGCTTTCCAAGAGTTCTGCATTGAGTTGCTATGACATCAAACTCTTTCCTGAAGTTCCCACCTCTGTCTTAAGTCTCTGCCTTTTTTCCTTGTCTAGATTTCTTGCTCCTGCCTTAAGTCCTAGCCTTTTCCCAGCCTAGTCCCCACTCTAGGCTTGTGGGATCTTCCCTTAGTATTAGTTGATGTGCATGCATCGTCCTGGTGTTGGATACTGTTTTAGTCCGTTTTCATTCTCCTGATAAAGACGTACCCAAAACTGGGTAATTTATAAAGAAAAAGAGGTTAAGTGGACTCACAGTTCCACGTGACTGAGGAGGCCTCCTAATCATGGTGGAAGGCCAAATGCATGTCTTACATGTTGGCAGACAAGACAGAATGTGAGTCAAGCCTAAGAGGTTTCCTGTTATAAAACCATCAGATCTCATGAGAATTATTTACTACCATGAGAACAGTATGGGGGAAACTGCCCCCATGATTCAATTATCTCCCACTGGGTCCCTTCCACAACACTTGGGAATTATGGGAGCTATAATTCAAGATGAGATTTGAGTGGGGACACAGCTAAACCATATCAGATATGAATTCTACCTACCGGCTGCATTGCTCATTGCTGCTACCCCAGGAAGGTTGCATAGCACTCAGATCTGTACTAACTGCACTTGTGTATCTCTTAGGAATTCTTCCTTTGCCCTCTTCCCTCCCTATCAGCATGTACCTCGTGACACTTGGAAAAGTTAACTACTGAGTGAGCGATTGCTGGGCGTGTTAAGGGGCATTCCTCTCTGCCTAAGTATTCCCCCTCCTCTGCTCATATCTCGCATGCAGGACTCAGGCAATTTCTGGGGTGTGAGATTTTCCACACTTCCCTTTTCTCAGGGGCTTCCCCCTCCTGCTCATGTCTAGCTGTCTTCCTATTCTAACCATAAAACCTAAAATAAGAATAAATTTTGTGTTTGCTCTTGATTGCCATGTCATGATAGAAGAGTAAGGCACCATCAGTGGCAACTGTGTTCCAAAGATTGATGTTGATTTGTTCATCCCTGAGTAGAAATGGAACTTGGAGGCCATTATTTGATTTCTTACAATATGCGCTTTGGTTGTGACACTGTCACTTTAACTGGTGATAAGCATCCTCTAAATGGTCCCTCCTTGAGATACAAAAAATTTGGTGCACTGATGATGTTGGGAATAAATCAGAACTGAACTAAAGTATGTTGCCATCTTGCACAAAAATTAAGCAAAACACTGGAGGGTAAAAAGCTCCCCTACAAAAAGGGCAATTTTTGTATTGGGTTTACTACAGTGACACACCACTATTAAGTGGGGAGAAATATGTCTGTCCATGATGTTGACAGGCATCTGAATTTCAGAGGACATTGTAAAAAAGAACAGCCTGGGCTAAATACTGGCCTTGATTTTTCTATGAAATCAAATCTGTCCAAAAGCTGCTTTCTGTCTGGTTGTGGTAGCGTGCGGCCAAGGGGGCCTCAGCTGGGAGCTTTTGAGCCAGGATGAGCCAGGAGAAGGAATTTCACAAGGTTGTGTCATCAGTTAAGGCATGAACAGGCCATTTTCACTTCTTTTGTGATTCTTCAGTTATTTCAGGCCATCTGGATGTATACGTGCAGGTCACAGGGGATATGATGGCTTAGCTTGGGCTCAGAGGCCTGACATTCCTGTCTTCTTATATCAATAAGAAAAAGAAAACAAAATAGTGGTAAAGTGTTGGGGCGGTGAAAATTTTTGGGGGTGGTATGGAGAGATAATGGGCAATGTTTCTTAGGGCTGCTTTGAGTGGGATTAGGAGTGATGTGGGAACCTAGAGTGGGAGAGATTAAGTTGAAGGAAGATTTTATGGTAAGCAGTGATATTGTGGGCTTGTTAGAAGGAGCATTTGTCATATAGAATGATTGGTGATGGCCTGGATATGGTTTTGGATGAATTGAGAAACTAAACGGATGATACAAGGTCTGAATAAAAGAAGGAGAAAAATAGGTATTAAAGAACTAAGAATTGGGAGGATCCAAGACATCCAATTAGAGAGTGCCCAAGGGCGTACAGCGTAATTACTTGCTTGGTTGGCAAGTTTTTGGGCTCTATCCTTGACAGAGTCCTCCTTTTTAAGTTGGAGGCTGAGCTTGGTGAGGTGTTTTTAAAAAACCATTAGTCCGTTTACTTTTCCTGAAGATTGAGGACGATAAGGGGTATGAAGATTTCACTGAATACAAAGAGCCTGAGAAACTGGGTGATTTGACTAATAAAGGCCAGTCCGTTATCGGACTGTATAGAGATGGGAAGGCCAAACTGAGGAATTATGTCTGACAAAAGGGAAGAAATGACCACGGTGGCCTTCTCAGACCCTGTGGGAAAGGCCTCTACCCATCCAGTGAAAGTGTCTACCCAGACCAAGAGGTATTTTAGTTTCCTGACTTGGGGCATGTGAGTAAAGTCAATTTGCCAGTCCTGGACAGGGGCAAATCCCCAAGCTTGATGTATAGGGAAGCGGGGTGGGGGGGGGAGGCGGGGGTGGCTGAGGTGTAGTAGAGTAGCAGATGGAGCACTGAGAAGTGATTTCCTTAAGGATAGATTTCCAGGATGGAAAGGAAATGAGAGGTTCCAAGAGGTGGGCTAGCAGCTTATAACCTACATGGAAGAGGTTATGAAATGACAGAATAGAATGGGCCTGTGAGGCTGGAAGGAGATATTTTTCTTGGTCCAAGAACCATTTGCCTTGTGTGGGAAGGGATTGACAGGTGGAAGAGTCAGTGAGGGAGTGGCCAGATGAGAAGGAGAAAAACTGCCGTGAGGGATAGAAGTTGGAATGCTAGCTGCCTTTTTAGTTACCTTATCAGCATAAACATTGTCCTGAGTGATGGAATTTGATGCCTTTTGATGGCCCTTGCAGTGAATGACTCCAGCTTCCTTTGTAAGTAAAGCTCTTTGAGAAGAGTTTTTATTAAAGAGGCATTAATGATGGAGGACCCTTCCATAGTGAGGAAATTTCTTTCTGCCCATATAACAGCATGATGGTGCAGGATATGGAAGGCATATTTAGAGTCGGTATAAATATTGACGTGTAGTCCCTTTGCAAGAGCGAGGGCCTGAGTTAAAGCAATGAGTTCAGCTTGCTGAGAGGTAGTGGAAGGGGCAGAGCAGTAGCCTCAATGATAGATGTAGTGGAGGGCGCAGAGCGGTAGCCTTAGTGATAGATGTGGAAGATACTATAGCATAGCCTGCCTTTGCTGGTGAGTGGCGATTAGGCCTGGTGGAACTGCCATTGATAAACCAAGTGTGATCAGGGTGAGGAACAGGAAAGAAGGAAATATGGGGAAATGGGGTGAATGTCACATGGATCAGATACAGTCATGGGGGTCAGGTGTGGTATCTGGAATAATGTGGGAGGCCGGATTGAAGTCCAGGCCAGGAACAATGGTAACTGTGGGAGACTCGACAAAGAGTGAGTACAGCTGAAGGAGCCGGGGAGCAGAAAGTATACGTGTCAGGTGTGAGGAAGAAAATAGATTTTGGAAGTTATGAGAACTGTAGAGAGTGGGTTGAGCACAGTTTGTGATTTTGAGGGCCTCTAAAAGTATTAAGGCAGTGGCAGTCCCCACATGCAGACATGAGCGCTAGGCTAAAATGGTAAGGTCAAATTGTTTGGATAAAAAGGCTACAGGGCACGGTCCCGGTCCTTGTGTAAGAATTCCGATTGCACAGCCCTGCACTTTGGCTGTGTGTAATGAAAAGGGTTGGGATGAGTCAGGGAGAGCTAGTGTGGGAGCAGTCTCTAAAGCTGTCTTCAAGGAATGGAAAGAGGAGTGGGGAAAGGATTTAGGATCTATGGGGTCAGCTAGGTTTCCTTTTGTGAGTTTATATAATGGTTTTGTTAGGATGGCAAAACCAGGTATCCAAAGGTGATAGTATCCAACCATGCCTAGGAAGGAAAGGAGTTGTTGTTTTGTAGAAGGTGTTGGGGTGAGAGATCAGTCGGACATGATCGGCAGGGAGAGCACGTGTGTTTTTGTGAAGAATTATGCTGAGGTAGGTAACGGATGGAGAAGAAATTTGGGCTTGACTGAAGTAATGGGGGCTGTCTGTGAAGCCTTGTGGCAGTACAGCCCAGGTAATTTGCTGAGCCTGATGGGTGTCAGGGTCAGTCCAAGTGAAAGCAAAGGGAGGCTGGGATGAGGGGTGCAGGGGAATAGTGAAAAAAGCATTTTTAAGATCAAGAACAGAATAGTGAGTTGTGGAGGAAGGTATTGAGGACAGGAGAGTACATGGGTTTGGCACCACGGGGTGGATAGGCAAGACAATTTGGTTGATAAAGGGCAGATTCTGAACTAACCTGTAAGCCTTGTCTGGTTTTAGAACACGTAAAATGGGGGAATTGTAAGCAGAGTTTATAGGCTTTAAAAGCCCATGCTGTAACAGGCAAGTGATAACAGGCTTTAATCCTTTTAAAGCGCGCTGTGGGATGGGATGTTGGCATTGAGCGGGTTAAGGGTGATTAGGTTTTAATGGGCTGGTAAGGGGTGCATCATCTGTCACCAAGGAGGGAGTAGAGGTGTCCTATACTTGTGGATTAAGGTGGGGAGATACAAGGAGACGATGTGAAGGAGGCTTTGAACTGGGGGAAAAGGTGGCAATGAGGCATGGCTATAGCCCAGGAATAGTCAGGGAAGCAGATAATTTAGTTAAAATGTCTCGACCTAATAAGGGAGTTAGGTAGGTGGGGATAACTAAAAAGGAGTGCATAAAAGAATGTTGTCCAAGTTGGCACCAGAGTTGGGGAGTTTTAAGAGGTTTAGAAACCTGGCCATCAATACCCATAACAGTTATGGAGGCAAGGGAAACAGGCCCTTGAAAAGAAGGTAATGTGGAGTGGGTAGCCTCCGTATTGATTAAGAAGGGGACGGACTTACCCTCCATTGTAAGAGTTACCCAAAGCATCTGTGATGGTCCAGGAGGCTTCCGAGGCAATCAGGCAGTGTCGGTCTTCAGCCGCTAAGCCGAGATCTGGGAAGGAGTCAATCAGAGCCTTGGGCCAGTTGGACAGTCCAACTTCCAGTGGGGTCCCGCACAGATGGGACACAGCTTAGGAGGAATCCTCGGCTGCGAGCAAAAATGGATTATTGAGCAGGAGTTGGCTGATGCATTCTAAACCTAATCCACTAAAAAGCACTTGAGAGATGTATCAAAAGATCATAGAGAAATCGATATTTTAGGCCCATATCCATGTCTTCAACCTGCATTTTCTTCCCATTTGAATTTTCATTTCCAAGAAGAGTTGTGCTTTGTTCAATTCTATAGCTCAGAGTATAACTTCAAAACACGCAATAAATCCATAAAGTTTGTCTTACGGTGAGTTAAGTTAAACTTTCTGAAGATGTTTTTTTGAAATGTAGCAGAGCAGGCTACAATTGATATTCCAAAAGAGAAACTTCCATTTGTTTCCACCTTTAAGTTACCTGTAACTGTGTCATGTTACTATGCTTCACAGCGCATCACTGCTGAGATCGCCTCCCCAGCTCACATCCTTAGGAAATATCCCAAAACAGAATCAAATTTTCCTCTTTTTAATTTGATAATTTTCCCCCAAGGATTATTTTCTCTTATTCACCTCCAGGGCTCATATGGCAATGAGATGTATTAGGGTTTATTTGCTGGTGAAGAAACATTAAACAAATCTTTCAGTAGAAAAAACATTTTTATATTATAGGCAAATGTAGATGTATATTGCTACAGAAGTAACTGTATTTTATTAATGGTGTGAGAATTTCTTCCTCACTGTGGTGTGTGAATATGTATGCATATTTGCATGTGTAAAAGCTTAGTAATTTGTGAAATGGAAGATGTTTCTCCGCTTCTCACTGAGCATGGCTGTAAAAGAAACATTTTCCTCTCCCCAGGCATTGCAGCACACTGGAAAGATAACACGTCCACAGAAAGCCTGACTTTCCAAAAGAGCTTATGAGAGAATGTGCCCCCCAGGTTGGTTAAAACATATGTTAATCCTGTGGCAGAGAAGTTTGATCTAGCCTTTGGGTGTAGCCCGCTGAATAAGTTCACAGTGATCCACGTGCTAGTTTCCATGGGCTGAAATAGAATATTCATACCCCCTGCCCACATCCACACACACACGGACACCAATTTCCCCCAAAAATCTCTTCGCTGAATCTTCTCCTGCTCTGTGTTTTCTTTGATATTTTCTTGAATGGCTTCCACAGAATTCAAATGTATTTGACTCTAAAGTCAACTTGTAAAATTGTATCTGGTAATTAGATTAAATTGCAAGTATCTGGACATTGTTTATATGAAGAACTGTTTGGACACTTCATTTATATGAAGTGTCCAAAATAGGCAAGTCTATAAAAACAGAAAGTAGATTTGTGGTTGCCAGAAGCTGCAGAGGAGAGTCAACAGCCAGTGAGAGTGGAGTGCCTTTTGGGGTATGAAAACATTTTAAAATGTATTGTGAGGATGGCTGTACAACTCTCAATATATTTGCATCCATTGGATTGCATGCCTTAAATGGGTGAATGACATCTCAATAAAGCTGTTTAAGAGAACCTACTAGTATGATCGGGGACCTCCATTTTTCTAAGATAGCTTCATTATTTTTTTTCTCTTTTTTCCTCATTCTCCTAGTTCCCCATTTCCTACTTAGCCCTTTAGAAATACAAATATGGCCTTTTACTTCCCCTTCATCAGAGTCTGCCTTCAGGGCAAGTTCATCTAACCATGTGCTTTAAGATGGAACTCCTGAGTTCACATTCCATCTATAAACCAAAGCATACCCACTACAGAACTCTCACCCTCCAGGGAGTTGCCTCAAGAGACAACAGCCTGCTCACAAAGGCACCAGCAGTCACCAGCTCGACCAGCTGACAGATAAGACTCTGAAGCCTGGACCCCTGCACCCTTGTTCACTTCATCCCCTGCCTTTTAAAAGTGCCACTTTCTGCTCCAGAAGTGAAGTGGTGCAAGAGGACTCCTGAATTTCTTCCCCTAAGCTAGCGTTGGAAGTAAATCACTTTCTTTATACCAGACTTCTCTCTTCTTTTTTTTTTTTTTTTTTGAGACGGAGTCTTGCTGTCGCCCAGGCTGGAGTGCAGTGGCGTGATCTTGGCTCACTGCAGGCTTCGTCCCCCCGGGGTTCACGCCATTCTCCTGCCTCAGCCTCCCGAGTAGCTGGGACTACAGGCGCCCACCAACACGCCTGGCTAATTTTTTGTATTTTTAGTAGAGATGGGGTTTCACCGTGTTAGCCAGGATGGTCTCGATCTCCTGACCTCGTGATCTGCCCGCCTCGGCCTCCCAAAGTACTGGGATTACAGGCGTGAGCCACAGCGCCCAGCCGACTTCTCTCTTCTTAATTGGATTCTGCAAGTGGCAAACAACTAACCTGCTCTTCAGTTACACTGGGATGTGTTTAGATTATTTTTCAAAGGTTGGAACATAGTTGAAAAAGTGAGAAGAGTCCTAAATTTTTTCTTGGAAATCTGGCTTCAATCCAGGTTCCTTTATTTCCTTGATTTGGGAGTTTGGTCACTGGGCAAATAACATGATTTTCTATGTCCAGATTTCCTTGTGTATAAAATGGGGATGAATATACTACCCTACCTATACCACAAGATAAATAAGCTAGTATTTGTACGGGACACACACTCACAGGTGTGTATGTATGTACGCACGCATATATGTATGTATAACAATGTGGGGGCCTAACCCAAGCACTGAGTATTTGCTGAGTCAGTATCTGCAACGTCATCTGGCAAATGGATGTGTGTGATTTCTCCAGGGATAAGAAGCAAATGTATACTGATGGAAAGCCTTACTCAGGCCATAACAAAGAGAGAAATGCTGAGTCCCACTCCATGAACTGGTCAAGGAACAGAATACATTCAAAGAGATATTTCATTGTTTCAACTTGCAAGGGAGGGGAGCATGGCACCTGAACAGAACTGATATAAATTATTCAAACTGAGAACCTGGCGAAGACCGTAGCTATCCTGTGCATAGTTAGCTACGATGGCTATTTTTTTTTCAACTAGACTAGCTATCATGTGGGCCCACTCATTTAGATTTGAAAAATCACCCATTATTTTCTCTGCCCATTCATTCCAGCACACTGATAGTCTTCACAAGGAAATTAAACATATTTTTGGAAGAAATCGTCAATCTGATACAAGATTTTGAACTGGGAATTTCATGAATCAAAAATTAAATGAATTGCACATAAAGCCATGGCATATGTATTTTTACTACATTGTGGGAGAAAAAATAATTATTATACAAAAAATCTTTGCTCTACCTGATTTCAAAAATAAAAGAAGTAGAAGAACCACTTCCTTATGTTCCATTTTGGGACTGGCCAGCAGTGCCCAGAAAGTGGGTCCCAATCCCAGGACGTTGTTGACTTACATGAGAGTAAACGCACCCACAAACCAGATAGTCAAATTAAGTTAATGATTCTCTCAGAGACCCATGCCACTGGCTCAGCAGGGTTCAAACATTACCTTGAATAAAGGGTCCTTACAAAATGTTTGAGGGTGGAATCTGCAATAGATGCTGGGAAGTGGTGAAAGCAATCTCCCACCTCGGCTGCTCCACGCTGACTTTATTCCTGCTGACTCCTCCCCTCACCACTACACCTTCACATCTCCTGATTAGTCTTGTTTCCTCCTCTCTCCTTTCATTCCCTTTCTTTTGGACAAAATAAAATCATAAAAGTATCTCACATTTGCTGGTACCTTCCATGACGAGACTTTCTGCCAAGCGCTGCACATCCATAGCCTCCCTCAAGCTTCCCAACAGGCATTGCTGTTATCATTCCTGCCGTACGAGGAGTGGGGCTGAGGCCTTCCCGAGGTTACGTGGCTGACCGGGGGTGCAGCTAATAGACACAACCCTTTCAGGTCTTAGATGACAAAATTAAGCTAGGTGGTAGTGTTAACATCTCCACATCCTATAATGAACCATGTCAAAACTACAACATAAGTGAAACTTTTTTTTTTTTTTTGAGACGGAGCCTTGCTCTGTCCCCCAGGCTGGAGTGCAGTGGTGTGATCTCGGCTCACTGCATGCTCCACCTCCCGGGTTCAGGCCATTCTCCTGCCTCAGCCTCCCGAGTAGCTGGGACTACAGGTGCCCGCCACTGCACCCGGCTAATTTTTTTTTTTTTGTATTTTTAGTAGAAACGGGGTTTCACCATGTTAGCCAGGATGGTCTCGATCTCCTGACTTTGTGATCCGCCTGCCTCAGCCTCCCAAAGTGCTGGGCTTACAGGCGTGAGCCACCGCGCCCCGCCCCATAAGTGAAACTATTTTATTATCTTCAAAATCTATTAATTTCTAGTGGACTCACATGTTTTCTGTAATTATAAATTATGTTATAAAATATCAATCCTTCCAGCTGGGTGCAGTGGCTCACATCTGTAATCCCAACAATTTGGGAGGATGAGGCGGATGATTCACTTGAGTCCAGGAGTTCGAGACCAGGCTGCCCGACATGTCAAAACCCCATCTCTACTAAAAGCACAAAAAGTAGCCCAGCATGGTGGCATGTATGCCTGTCATCCCAGCTACTCAGGAGGCTGAGGCACGAGAATTGCTTGAACCCAGGAGATGGAGGTTGCAGTGAGCTGAGATTGTGCCACTGCACTCCAGCCTGGGCAACAGAGCAAGACTCTGTCTCAAAAAAGAAAAAAAATAAATAAATACAAAATAAAGTAAAATACAATATCAATCCTTCCCATTCCAGTAGGTGTAGCTTAAATAAATACATATTTTAAAAAATAAAATATCAATATTTCCCCAAATGAATTCATGGTGCATTATTATATTTTCATTCTCATGAAGTAAAGCAAGAGTGGTAGAATTAAGTGGAAAGAGTCTATCTGTAGTGTAGTCACATCAGTGGTTGTATCGAGATGGTTAGGAGGCTCCTCCCAGGTTTAAAACAGTATCCAAGCTCCAGTTGTAAATCAATTGGGGAGACACGCCAACTCTGATCATCAGCAATATCTGAGCTCCAGTCTCCACTCTAGCAAAATATCCTTTCACAAAGATGAGGACTGAAAAATGCTCACTGAATTTAGCAAAGAAGGAGTCACTACAGGGGTGGGAAGAGAAGCCACACCATATGTCTCAGTCTGTTTGTGTTGCTGTAACAAAATGTCACAGGTTGGATAATTTATAAAGGACAAAAATGGATTGTGTCACAGTTCTGGCAGCTGTGAGGTCCTCAATCAAGATGCTAGCATCTGGTGGCTCCTTATTACTAAGTCCTCATGTGGCAGAAGGCCATGATGAAATTCCCATGACGGGATTCATGCCTCAGTAAGAAGAGGAGAGCCATCTCTACACACACACACACACACACCCCATCCCTTTCCCTCCTCACAGAAGCAAAGGAGATGCCATGTGAGGGTGCAGTGAGAGTCAGGCCATCTAAAAGCCAAGAGGAGAGATTTCACCATACACTGCATCTGCTGACACCTTGATCTTGGACTTCCAGCCTCCAGACCTGTGAGAAATAAATGTCTGTGTCTAAACCCCCCAGTATGGTATTTTGTGATGGCAGCCCAAGCTGATTAAGACACCTGGTTAGACCCGAATAAGCAGGTGAGGAGCACTGTGGGAGGGGCGAGAGAGGAAACTAGACTGGGCTAGATGCCTGGGGAGGGGAGACTGTCTTGCTAAATACTGTGGATTTTACCGCAAAGGCCTTGAGGAGCCACTGAAGGCAGGGTGTGCCACAAACTTGGGGAGCCCCAGGCCCCTGGGAAAAGAAAAGAATGTCATTTGTGGAGAAAAAGAGGCCCCCACTTTTCAAAGGTCATTTGACCTTCACAAAAGCGTTGGTCCTCTGGTTCTTAGTGTTGGAGCTCAGTAAGGGAAGGTGATTCCCTGAATTTGTAAAAGCGCTTTTCTGAATCCAACAGTACGTGAGTCCCTTAAGAGTGGCCAGAGAAGAAAGAATCCACCCAGCTGACATTCTAATTCAGTAAGTTGTAGGGACATTGTTTTGAATGATCCCATCGGCAAGGGAGCACCAACCCATAACTTACCTCAAGCCTGCGGGGTTCTCCAGTCCAGTCCCTTCCAGAACCCTTCCCTGTCCCACGAGCAGTGATGGATTATTGCCAACGTTGTTCAGTTTCATTTGACTTACTTTGAAAACCAAGTTCCAGTAATGAACAACTACGGGAGCTAAGGTCATTGCATTTGGTCCCTGTGAGTAGCCTTTCCACCTACCCAGGCCACAATCAGTAATCACCATTGCACACCCTTGAGGCAATTCTTCCAAAATTACCTTGCATCAAAGACTGCACAAGAACTGCTCTAAGTGGAAGGACTGATGTTGGCAGCCTGGATTCCACCAGGGGCTGCAGACAGCCCTTGACCTTCATGTGGGAAGCTGTCACTGAGTTCAGACACTCTGGATTCAGCCTTCCTCTAGGAATCAATCTTCCGATAAGCAAATAAATGGAAAGGTGAAATTAGATAAAGACATTAGTACCTCAGGGGACAATTAAGCATTGGTGGTTAATCTAAATACACTTGCTTAGAATTTTTATTTTACTACTATTATTTATTGTAGGTTTGTGGATCTGTGCCAGGCACAAACAGCACTATGAATTATCCATACCATGATACAATCACCAGATTTTTCTCTGTTATTATCATTACCATTTTATAGATCAGAGCATTGAAACTTGCTTGCCCATAGTTACATCAGTGGAAATTGGGAGAGCCAGGTTCCAATGCAAATATCTGGGCCTCAAGTGATTACTTTTAACCATTGCACTGTAATTTACTACTGGGAGGAAGGAATAATAAATAATAATGGCTATACTTGATTGGTTAATCACTATATACTAGGCACTGTACTAAGCTCCTTTTAGAAGTTTTATTTATAATTGTCACATAATAATTGTACATATTTATGGGGTACAGTGTGATGTTTCAATGCATGGATACGTTGTGTAAGGATCAAATCAGGGTGATTAGCATACCCCTCACTTTAAACATTTATCCTTTCTTCTTAGTTAGAAGATTCCAAATCCTCTCTTCTAGTTATCTTGAAATGTACAACACAGAATTATTAGCTATAGTCACCCTAGTGTGTAATAGAACACCAGAACTTATTCTTTCAATCTAATTGGATCTTTGTACCCACTGACGAACCTCTCTCCATTCTCCTCTTCCCGACTACCCTCCTCACCCTCCAGTAACCACCATTCTACTCTCTAATTCTATGAGATCAAGATAAAAAAAATTTATTGACAAATAATAATTGCACATGTTCACAGAGTACATAGAGATATTTCAATATATATAATGTATAGAGATCAAAGAGGGGTAGTTAGCATATCCATCAATCATCTCAAAGTTTATCACTCATTTGTGTTGGAAACATTCAATATGCTCTTTCTAGTTGCTTGAAACTTTACAATATATTATTGTTAGCCATATTCATCCTACAGTGGTATAGAACACTAGAACATATTACTGCTATCTAGCTGTAATTTTGTAGACTTTAACCAAGCTCTCCCTATTTCCCCTTTTCCCACCCTTCCAGGCCTCTACTGTCCTCCGTTCTACTTTTTACTTCTTTGAGATAAACTTTTTTAGCTGCCACATATTGTTACCGGCGGCAAATCCGTATGGGTCTGCAGCAACCTCAATTCTTACTTCCTCAGAAGAATGAATTTGACTGAGGGGCATGAGGCAGAAGGAAAGATTGAGGCAAGTTTTTAGAGCAGGAGTGAAAGTTTATTAAAAAGCTTTAGAGCAGGAATGAAAGGAAGGAAAGCACACTTGGAATAGGGCCAAGCGGGTGACTTGAAAAGCAAGTGTGCGCCTTGACCTTTGGACTTGGGGGTTTTATACATTGGTATGCTTCCGAGGTCTTGGGTCCCTTCTCCCCACTCGCCCAATTCCTGAGATCTTATCGGGAAGCTGCTGATGATAGGTGTTTTCTATCTCTTGGGAAACTGCTTTTCTCTGGTGCCAGCTGTGACCAATTATTACTTTAGACAGACAGTTAATAACCACCCTGACCATCACCTAATGGTTGGCAACACTCCTGGTGTGTGTTTGGGGCAGTGGTAGGGGGAAGCCCTCTTCTGCCCTGCTAATACCTTAATAGCCACCTATGGCAACATTATGAGTGAGAATCACGCAGTGTTTACCTTTCTGTTCTTGGCTTACTTAACATACTGTCCTCTAGTTTCATCCATGTTGCTGCAAACGATAGGATTCCATTATTTTTTATGGCTGAATAGTATTCCATGGTATGTATATACCTTATTTTCTTTATCCATTCATGTGTAGTCACACAACTAGGTTGATTCTTTATCTTGGCTATTGTGAACAGAGCTGCAATAAACCTGGGGCTGCAGACTCTTTGATACAATGATTTCCATTCTGTTGGATAAATGCCCAGTAGTGAGATTGCTGGATCATAAGGTACTTCTATTTGTAGTTTTTTGAGGAACCTCCATAGTGTTCTCCAGAATTACTGTAGTAGTTTAAATTCCCACCAACTGTGTAGAAAAATTCCCTTTTTTTCTGCGTCCTCACCAGCATGTGTTATTTTTTGTCTTTTTGACAATAGTCATCCTACTGGGGTGAGACAATGGCTCATTGTGGTTTAGATTTGCATTTCCCTGAGGATTAGTGGTGTTGAGCACATTTTCATACACTTGTTGCAGATTTGTAATGTCTTCTTTTAATAATTCAGATCATTTGCCCATATTTTAATTGGGTTGGTTTTTTGCTCTGGAGATGTTTGAGTTCCTTGTATATTCTGGATACTAGTCCCCTGTCCCCTGAGTAGTTTACACAATACTAGGCACCACACTAGGTTCTTTACACAGGTTATTTCATTTATTCCTCACTCTGACCCTATGAGGGAGGTGCTATTACTACCACTCTCATCTTACTAATAGAGAGTTCCGCAGAGGTTCATAGCTTCCCCAGAGTCACACCGCTTGTGTGTCAGATGGAGCAGGGTTGGATGCCAGAGCCAGGCCCTCCAGCCCCACGCCTCGTTGCTGCCGGAGCCTGCCGGTCTGCAGTTACTGCCACAGGCATCAATGGCAATAACCAGAATAAGCATTTATCGAGCACCTACTGTATTCACAGAACTCTGATCAGTGAAGCAAACAAAGCCAAGGAAGGTAGAAATCGCAGAGTCCAAACCAGAGTCTAGGGCCTGAAGTGCACTGCATGGGCCAGGTTAAAGTAAATGAAACATTCCTATTTTGATCCCTTTCATTATTTATCGTTCATACCCATAAATACTTTTAAGGGGATCAGTTTAGATGCAAAGTCAACAACAAATAGGCAACGAATCTGTTCTTCCAACATTTTTTTTCTCCTGAAAAGACTCTCTGAAAGCCCTGTTTTAAAGAGACTTGCTCCTTTTGCACGATGGGTAAATCGCAGGACCTGGTAGATTATGCTACATAATGTGGAAAGGTTGCTTCGTCCAAGAGCCTGGAGTTTTCAGAGACTTTGTCCTGAAACTACCCTCCTTGGGCAATACCAGCGCCTGCAGGCAACAGCTCTCATGTACTTAAGATTTAAATACAACCCACAGAAGTGCTGGCTTGTCTGGGAAAACCTTTTACTAAAGAGAAGAGCAACATTTTTTTTTCTTTTCTGGAATTTGTAAACAGCATTTATTCTCAGCCTTGCCTTTGAAATGTTCCACCTGGAACACTGCTGGGCAGCGTGGAAACAGAAGCGAACGTCAGCCAAGCCGGCAGGGGGCGGCAGACCCCACACTTCGCCGGGCGCCCTCGCCTCCCTGGGAGTGAGCGTGCAGCTGCCAAAACCTGTCGCTGGTTTCAGGTCCAAGCGCCTTCAGCCAGCAGATGGTTCATGTCCTTCGAGGCGGCAAAATATGGGGTGGAAGGAGTGGGGGGTGAGGCTGAGAATGGGGAGAGCAATCCAGGGTCGCCAGGGTGGGAGCCGCAGCTGGCCCGTGGCCGCCCGGAGGATACTGATGCTTCTGGAGTGCGCGAGGGGCCCCGCAGGACCGGGGCCCGCAAAGGCGCGGGCACTGGGCGGGGACGCGGGCGCGGCGTGGTGCCGGGGCGGGAGGCGGAGGGGTGGACGAGGGGTGGACGAGGCTCGGGTGGGCTGACCCCTTCCCGCAGGGCCAGGATGGCCAGGGCGAGGCCGCCGGGAAAGGCAGGACCCTCGCCCCTACGCCGCCAGCTGGGCTTTTCTCCTTCTCGCCAGCTCCGTGTTCCAGGGCGCGATCTCGCTCCGTCCACCCGCCGGCTCTGGGGCTGAGCCTCAGGTAGGTGGGTCGGAGGTCCTGTGAGAAGTGAGGGTTGAAGGCGTTTCTGCTTCCAAGCGCAAGCACGGGGAGCCCGGATGCTCCAGCCCCTGGACCCTGGATTAGAAACTGGCAAGGGTAGATGTTTTGCAGGAGGTTGCCCTCTGCCTTCCTCTGTTCTAACACCTGCTGGATTCAGGGAGTCCTAGTACCTGTATTTCTGACCCGAAAAACAGAACAGCAGAACATCCAATGTGATGGGTTAGGCCTCCTTAACGTGCCTCGTTTGACTTTGTAACCTTCCTTCCACAGACTGATCTTTTTCGTGCAATTGATGTGATCCTGTGTCAGCTATACAAAACAATTTTTGTTTACTGAATCTGGTTTAAAAGGCAAGAAGTTGCTTCCCATAGGGCACATTGATCCCTGGTGGAAAGGGATGTGTATGCCCTGAAACATGGAGAGTCATATGCGCTGCTTGGTTTTGTGTAGATTAAAGTAACATGAGATGATGTTTTCACTGATTTTCAGAATTATGGAGAATTCACTTAGGAAAATATATGTTTCAATGCATGACCAATATGGGTATTTACTTTAACTGATTTCACAGAAGCAGTGCTCCTGTTTTGAGACACACAGATTTTATTTGGTGCCTCTTTATGGTATGATCAATTAGCTGCTTACTTCATAAGTTATGTGGAGTGGGGAAGGTACTTCCTGTTTTCTCTTTAAATGTCTTTTCTCTGATTTGAAGAAGTAATAAAGGAGAAATCTTTTTGCAGTGTTTAACTTTTATCCTCCACTATTCTGAAGTTCAAGCTTCAATAATTAATATAAATACAGTAAAATTAATACTTTAAAGGTAGCTGATATGCTTAATAACCAGAAAATATTTCAATTAAAAAAATTCCATTCCATCTAGTGTTTTGACCCATATGATACATATGCATACATGTGTAAAAGTGTATATATATTCATACGTATATGAAAAAGATACTATGCACTATACTGAGTTTATACTTTTATTGTGCATCACTAAGACCGTTTTTGACTTTAAAAAGTAGATTATGTAGACCTGCGAAACAAGCAACAAAAATGAAAACACTGCACTTTTTTGTGGTTCTCTAAACACACAAGAATAGTGGAGGTCAGGATCCATGCTGTTGGCCAGGCATTAAGTTGGCGTTATCAGCAATCACTGTAGTGCCAATGAATGTGAATTCCCCACATGTCGTGCCTTGGGAATTGCTCCTTTGACTAGATTACTGGCTTGAGGTTGTCGCTGTTGTCTTTCCTACAAGAGTAGAAAACAAGCGCACAAAATTGGATTTAGGTAAATGGAAATTTAATGCAGTCACAGCAGTGCCCCACACAAAGAAGGCAATCAACAAATGCAGCCTTGATAAGGGTCCCTCCCTAGGCCAGTCGTCACCTACTCCCTCTGTTGGATGACAGCCCTCCGGTATCTGCACTCAGTTCCCACGTTCCCGAAGCTTCTCTTCTCAGACTACGCAGCGCCCAGAGCTTCAGGTCTCTCCATATCCTTCATCAACACTTCCTGAAAGTGTGAGACCTTGGAGAAGCCCATGTCCTCCAGATGTGGCCAGGAGAGCTGAGACAGAGCCCTGGGGTCCTTTCTTATCAACCCTTGGTTGGGGTGTCCTAGTTCTGTAAATTCTACAAATAGCCATTTTTAAAAATACCATTCATTTTACACCAGTAGCTCAGCTGTCCTGGGTGAGCTCCACACCCTCAACTCTGTAGCTGATTACATAGTTCATTATTACATTACCCAGTCTCAGGTATTACAGCAATGTGAGAACGACTAACACACCTATGGACTTCCCACCTGGGAATATTAGGATTTAACTCCTTTTAATGCACCATCAACATCAAAACACACACCACACACATGCCACATATACACACATCCCATATATACACTATGCACACACACACCACATACACCACAGACACGATGCACAACACACAGACACAGCATACGCACCACATACCACGTACACACCACACTGTACACAACACACATACACACCATAAACGCCAGACACACTGCACACACCTCACACCATACACACACCATACACATACCACACACACACCACAAACATCATACATACTACATACACACACACATCCTTTTGCTATATGTACCTAACATAATTATGTAATTATATTGTAATTTTGGTTAAGTAAATATTCAGTGTTCATATTTCTTCATGACTATGAAAATGCTATTTATAACTGAGGCATGTAGTATACTCTTATATTTCTCCCTAGAATTCGTTGTTTTCTTTTCTGTAAGATTTTATGTCATTTTTCTAATTCTACTCCAAATTCTCAGTTTTATAAACCTTTTCAATATGCCCCCAAACCCATTAGGCCATCTAGCAATGTTCTTAGAGAGAGCTTCTCAGGAGCCATCGTCCCTGCTCTGGCCTGGCCTGGCCTGGGTGCACGGCCGGCCTGCTGTCCATCTGTCGTGGGATCTCCATGGACTGTCATCCAGAAGATCCCCTTGCCTCTCTGATATTTGATCCCCCATTTGTTGAATCTCACATCTTCCTTTTTCAAAAAAATTACTTCCTCATTTTGCCAGAGCAAATCTCTGTATCTGATACTGAATGAAATCTAGTATCATCCTTAGAATACATGGAAGGTATTTTTTAATTGAGAAATTCCCATAAGAATATTAACCATCTTAAAGTGGACAATTAGTTTTATGTAGTACACGACAACCACCACCTCTATCCAGTTCCAAAACATTTTCATTACCTCAAAATACAATGCAGTACACAGTAAGCTATTACTTTCCATGACCCCATCCCAGCCCTTGCTTTCAAGGTTTAGCCATGCAGCATGTACCAGTGCTTCATTCCTTTTTGTGGCTGTATAAGCCACAATTTGTTTATCCCCTCGTCTATTGATTGATATTTGGGTTGTTTCCAGCTTGTGGCTTTTGTAATAGTGCTGCTATGAACCTTCTCATGCAAGGTATCTGGGTACTTGTTTTCAATTTTTTTGTCTATATACCTAAGAGTAGAAGTGTTAGATCATATGGTAATTCTATGTTTACCATTTTAAGGAACTGCCAAATTATTTTCCACTGTGGTTGAACCATTTTATATTCCCACCAGCAATGTACAGGATTCTAATTTCTTTACATCCTCACCACCACTTGTTATTCTCTATTTTTTAAATTATAGACATCCTAATGCATATGAAGTCTTATTTCATTATGACTTTATTGGCATTTTCTTAATGACTAATGATGTTAACCATCATTTCATGTACTTGTTGACTATTTATATATCTTTTTTGGAAAAATGTCTCTTTACATTCTTGTTTTTCTTTTTGTTGTTGAATTGTAAGTTTTTTTTTTTTTTCTCCCATTTCTCTTCTTGTTTGCCCAAAGAATACTGTGCTGGCAGTGAGCTGCACTGCTGCACTTTCTTTTTTCTAAACAAGAAATGGGTTAAGTGATGGTGGTCTCACCCTGTCACCCAGGCTGGAGTGCAGTGGCCCAATCATAGCTCACTGCTGCCTTGAACTCCTGGGTTCAAGTGATCCTCCTGCCTTGGGCTCCCAAAGTGCTGGGATTACAGGTGTCAGCCACTGAGCCCAGCCTAGAGATTTTAATATATTCTGGATACCAGGCCTTTGTCAATAGATTTGCTTCATCAGTAGGTTTTTTCACTTTGTTGATTATGTCCTTTGACACATAATAGCTTTTAATTTTTTTCATTACTCTTCAATTGTTTTCCAGTTTTATTGAGATACACTTGACAAAAATTGTATATATTTAAGATGTACAAGGTAATGTTTTAATATAAATGCACATTGTGAAATTATTACCATAATCAAGCTAATTAAAGTATTCATCATCTCACATACTTTTGTGTACATGGTAAGAACACTTAGGATCAACTCTTTTAGCAAATTTCAAGTATGCAATACAGTATTGTTAACTGTAGTCAGCATTCAGTTCATTAGATTTCCAGAACCTGTTTATCTTGCAAAACTGCACATTTGTATTTTTTGACCAATATCTCTCCATTTCCCTCTTCCCCAGCCCTGGTAATCACCATTCTACTCCGTTTCTAAGAGTTCAACTTTCTTAGATTCCATATGTAAGCTTACACAGTATTTTCCTTCTTTGTCTGGCTTATTTCACTTATCATAATGTCCTCCAGGTTCATCCATGTTGATGCAAAGGCAGGGTTTCCTTCTTTATTAAGGCTGAATAATATTCCATTGTGTGTGTGTGTCTGTATATAAGACACAGACACACACACACACAATGTGTATATGTGAGTGTATATATATATATAATATAAAAATGTGTGTATAACACAGACACACACATATGGATACACACATTTTTATCATCCATTTATCCTTTTATTTATTTATTTGTGTATGTTGAACTATCCTTGCATTCCTGGGACAATTCCCACTTGATCATGGCGAATGATCCTTTTAATGTTCTGTTGGATTCCGTTTCCTAGTATTTTGTTGAAGATTTTTGCACATATGTTCATCGGGGATATTGCCTGTAATTTTCTTTCCTTACAGTATTCTTTTTTGTGTTTCATATCAGCATAATGCTGTCCGCATAAAATGAACTTGAAAGCATTCCCTTTTCTTTAACTTTTTGGAAGAGTTTGAGGAGGATTGATATTAGTCCTTTTAATGTTTGGTATGATTCAGCAGTTAATTCAGGTATGATTAGGTCCTGGGCTTTTTGTTGATGGAAGTTATTACTGATTCAATCTTATACTTATTGGTCTGTTCAGATTTTCTATTTCTTTCTGAGTCAGTCTTGGTAGGTTTTTCACTTCTAGGAATTCATTCATTTCTTCTAAGTTATCCAATTTGTTGACATATAATTGTTCACAGTAGTCTCTTATGATCATTTGTACTTCTGTAATATCTATTGTAATGTCTCCTCTTTCTGATTTCATTTGAGTCTTCTTTGTTTTTCTTAATCTAGTTAAAAGTTGGTCAATTTTTTTATCTTTTTAAAAACCGTTAGTTTTCTTTCTTTTTTTTTTTTATCATTTTTCTGGTCTCTACTTCACTATTTCTATGGTGATCTTTATTATTTCTTTCCTTCTACTAACTGTTGGGTTAGTTTTTCTTTTCTTCTTTGTCTATTTTTTTGAGGAGTAATGTTAGGTTGCTTATTTGATATCTTTCTTCTTTTTTGATGTAAGTGTTTATTGCTAAAAGCTTCCCTCTTAGAACCACTTTTGCTGCATACTATAAGTTATTGGTATGTTAGTGTGCCCATTTTCATTAGTTTTGAGTTTTTAAATTTATCTTTTAATATCTTCTTTGATCATTGATTGTTCAGGAGCATGTTGATTAATTTCTATGTATTTGTGGATTTTCCAATATTCTCCTGTCATTGATTTCTAGTTTCATACAATTATAATCTGAAAAGAATACCTGGTATGATTCTAATCTTCTTAAATTTGTTTACTTGTTTTGTGACCTAACATATGATCTATTGTGGAGAAAGTTCTATGTGCACTTGAGAATAATGTGTATTCTACTGCTGTTGGACAGAATGTTCTATATATTTCTGTTAGGTCCATTTGGCCTAAAGTGTAGTTTAAATCTCATGTTTCCATAATGATTCTCTGTCTGGAGCTATTGAAGTCTGCTACTATGGAGCTAAGTGGAGCTATTGAAGTCTGCTACTATGATTATAGTACAGTCTAGCTCTCCTTTGAGAACTATTAATTTTTTTAGTTGTTATACGTAGGTACTCAAATTTTGGGTATATATATTAATAAGTATTTATAATTGTTATAACAAATTGATCTCTTTATCATTATGTTATGATCTTCTTTGTCTCTTTTTACAGTTTTTGACTTAAAGTCGTTTTTTTTTTTTTTTTTTTTTTTTTTTTGAGACGGAGTTTCGCTCTGTCGCCCAGGCTGGAGCGCAGTGGCGCAATCTCGACTCACTGCAAGCTCCGCCTCCCGGGTTCACGCCATTCTCCTGCCTCAGCCTCCCGAGTAGCTGGGACTACAGGCACGCGCCACCATGCCCGGCTAATTTTTGTATTTTTAGTAGAGACGGGGTTTCACCGTGTCAGCCAGGATGGTCTCGATCTCCTGACCTCGTGATCCGCCCGTCTCGGCCTCCCAAAGTGCTGGGATTACAGGCGTGAGCCACCGCGCCCGGCCTTAAAGTCGTTTTACCTCATGTAGATTCAGTTTCCCTTATCCAAAATTCCTGAAACCGGAAGTGTTTTCAATTTTGAATTTTTTTGGAATATTTGAATTATAATATGGTTTACTTTTTTAGAATTTTGAAATTTTTTTTTATTTTGGAATATTTGCATTATGATATAGTTTGGCTGTGTCCCCACCCAAATCTCATCTTGAATTGTAATCCCCATAATTGCCACATGTCAAGGGAAGGACCCAGTGGGAGGTGATTGGATCATGGGAGCAGTTTCCCTCATGCTGTTCTCATGAAAGTGAGTGAGTTCTCATGAAATCTGATGGTTTTATATGTGTTTGACAGTTCCCCCTTCACACACTCACACTCCCTTCTGCCACCTTGTTAAGAAGGTGCCTGCTTCCCCTTCACCTTCTGCCAATATTGTACATTTCCTGAGGCCTCCTAGCCATGCTTCCTGTTAAGCTTGTGGAACTGAGTCAATTAAACCTCCTCATAGTTACCCAGTCTCAGGTAGCATTCTTTATAGTAGTGTGAGAATGGACTACTACACATTATATATTTACTGTTTTAGCATCCCTAAAGACCAAAATCCAAAGTGTTCCAGTGAGCAATTCCTTTGAACATCATGTCAGCACTTAAAATTTTATTAATTTTGGACTATTTCAGATTTCAGACTTTTGGATTAGGGATACTCAATCTGTATAACTACACCTGCTCTCTTTTGGTTTCCATTTGCATGGAATATTTTGTCCATCCCATTACTTTCAGTTTATTTGTGTCCTTATAGGTGAAGTGAGTGTCCTGTAGGCAGCATACAGTTGGATCTTATTTTTTAGTGTATTCTACCTCTGTATATCTTTTTATTGGAGAATTTAATCCATTTTCATTCAAGATAATTATTGATAGGTAAGGGACTACTGTTATCATTTTGTTAATTGCTTTCTGGTTGTTTTGTAGACTCTTTGTTCCTTTCTTCCTGTCTTGCTATCTTTCTATGTGATTAAGTGATTTTTCTCTAGTGGGATGCTTTGATTCCTTTTTATCTTTTGTATATCTACCTTATGCTTTTGCTTTGTGGTTACCATGATGCTTACAAAAAGTCTCATAATTATATCGGGCTATTTTATGCTGATAACAACTTAATTTTGATTGCATAAAAACTCTGTGCCTTTACTCCACATCTCCCTGCATTTAAAATTTTTTTATGTCACAATGTATATCTTTTTATAGCATATATCCCTTAAAAAATTATTGTAGCTATTATTTTCAATAGTTTTGTCTTTTAACCTTCATGCTAAAGATATAAGAGATTCATTCTTTCATATTACAGATATATGTGGCCACCATTAACGTATTTGAATATTATGAATTTGACTATGTACTTACTTTAACCAGTGAGTTTTATGTTTTCTTTTTTGTTACTAATTAGCATCTTTTTTCATCTTGCAGACTCCCTTTAGCATTTCTTGTAAGACAGGTCTGGGGTTAATGAACTTCCTCAGCTTTTATTTGGTAAAAACTTGATATCTCCATTTCTGAGGCACAGCTTTGGTGAATGCAGTATCCTTATTTTGTAGTTTTTTTCTTCAGCATTTTGAATATATTAACCTGCTCTTTCCTGGCCTGTATGGAACCTGTTGAGAACTTTGCTGCTAGCCTTACTGGAACTCTGTTATATGTGATTTGCTTCTTTTCTCTTTCTGCTTTTACGATTTTCTCTTTGTCTTTATTTTTGACAGTCTGACTTTGCCTTGATGTAGTTATGTTTGAACTGAATTTAGTTAGAGACTTTTGACCATCTTGGACCTGGATGTTGATATCTTTCCCTAGATTTAGAAAGTTTTCTGTTATTTTTAAAATAAGCTTTCTACCCCTTTTTTTCTCCTTTGTGAACTCTTATAACTAAAATATTTGCACTTTTCATGCTGCCTCATAAGTCCTGTAAACTTTATTTTTTTACTATTTTTTCTTCTTCGATTCTATATTCACAAATAACCTGTCTTCAAGTTCACAGATTATTTATTCTACATGATGAATTCTGCTTTTGATGCTGTCTATTGCATTTTTCACTTAATTATTTTTCCAGTTTCAGAAATTCTGTTTGACTTTTTAAACAGTTTTAATCTCTCCATTACATTTCTCATTTTGGTCTTTTATTGTTTTTCTGATTTTATTGAATTCTCTGTATTTTCTTGAAGTTTACCAAGCTTTCTTCAAATAATTATTTTGAAATCTTTGTCAGGTTGTTAATATATCTTTATTTCTATGGGACCAGCTACTGGGAAATTATTGTGTCCTTTGATGGTGTTTTATTTTACCTCCTTGTTTTTTCATGTTTCTTGTTGTGTTACATTAATGTCTATGCATTTAAAGTAGGAACTGATTTTAGTCTCAACATTCATCAGTTTCTAGTTCATCTACTACATCTTCAGTATTACCTGTGTTCCTGAGATTGTGTCTGCTGCGTCTTTATGGTGGAAGCCACATTGATGGGGCTCCTGCATCTCTTCCTAGTGGCACAGGCAGGGATGTTGTGTCAGTAGACTGAAGGGCCCACAGTGGGAGCATTTACACCGTGCACATTGGCAGATGCTGCCAATCAGGGCTTGATTGTCCAAAGCCAGTTGTTAGGCATTTACTAGCACACCACTTGGATACAAATAAGTGGAGAAAATAGGAGAGGGTGGCTTTTCAAGAACTTTGGCTCTAAAGAACAGTAAAAGAAAGGATGGTAATGGAAGGATGAGGTGAGAATGAGAGAAGGCTGGTCAAACAAGAAAGATCTTAATGTGTTTGAAAGCTTCTCCCAATAGGTTAAAGATACTGGAGAAAGGGTTAATCACCATAGTGAGGCACCCAAAAAGACAAGCCTAGGTGAGCACTGGCCCTGGGGTAGACACCAAGACAATTCTTCCAGTGTAAGGTGACAGGTGGAATGGGAGGGAGAGGAGCAGGTAAGTGAGAGTGTCAGTGAGCAGGTGCAGAGGGGACTCCCCTCCAGCACTTCTGTTTCCCTGTGATGCAGGAGGGGAGGCCTTGGGTGTTGGACCCCGAGAAGGCACTCAGTCAATCACTGTGAGATGTGTGAGAGAACCCATGGCTGCCAGGTGTACAGGGGCCATAGCTCAGGGTTTGAGGAAGGGAGAGAACATTTGAAATCATGGTGAAGGAGAGCCAAGGCAGTGATCTGGGGTGTAGAGGTTGCTGTGGTTGAGAGCCACTCCAGTGAGTAACACGGTGGCTTCACAGTGAGGAGGCCTGTGGGGGAAGGCCCAGCTGTGTGTTCCTGGGGGCAGTAACACCTCTCCCCTATTCCGTAGGTACCCTGGCATCCATCTGTGGTGGCCTCGTGATGCTTTTGCCTGAAATCACGGGTATTGCCTTGCCAGAAACAGTGGATGATGTAGAAAAACTTGGCAGGCATTGTCCAAAATTCAATGCACCCTAAATAAAAGCAGCATTTCAAACCACTGGAGAAAGGAAGATGTTGAGAAAATTGAACATGCATGGGGAAAAAATAACAATAAATCCTCATCTTACATCGTAAGCAAAAAATTCAAAGTAAACATAAAATATTAATGTAAAAAATCCCACCAAAGCTAGATAAGAATATTCATTATTTTTTAAACATGATTGTGAAGAGAGAAGCATTTCCATGTAAGGTGCTAAGACTCAGAAGTGATCTAAAGGCAGGAACTGCTGACGTGGGAAAGTGGAAATCGCTGGGACGTGCAGCAGCAGGGGATTAACAGTGTGGCTTACTCTACAGAGTGAGGAGGCTGACGTCAGGTCTGTCTAGATGGAATGGCATAGGCAGGTTTTCAAGACTGATTACAAAGTGAAACATCACTCAACAATGTGTTAGAGTATTTATAAAAAACTAAAACCAAAGGCAGTCCCTCTCTGTAGCTGGATAGGAAGACAGATGACACACAAATGGTAGATAGGCAGATAATAGGTAGATGGATGATAGATGATAGATAGATAGATAGATAGATAGATAGATAGATAGATAGATAGACACAGATGATAGATAATGGGTAGAAGGATTGATGAATGGATAAATAGATAATAGATGATAGATAGGTAATAGAGGTAAGTAGACAGAGAAAAGAAAGAGAGATTGAGTTTTGGAGGCAAATAGTGTACAAGGAAAGCTAATATCCAGCCAATATATGAACATGAAGAGTTATATCAACAAAAATTAACATTACTGAAATCTTTATAAGTTTCTGTTTGACATTTTTCACTAAAAAAGACAGAGATATGAATATGAGAATTACAGTAAAAGATGTAAAACAATATCTGGGGACACAAATGGGCTGGGGAGATGGGTAGCGAAGGGAGGGCCATCACTTTCCTGTCAGAGACTTCTGTACTGTTTGATTTTTTTTTTTAAATAGAACACATAGTCTTGTTTTTTTGCGTAATCTTTAAAAATGATTTAACTGCTAACTTAAAAAATAAAAAGCAATCTTGATAATGAACTGGAAATTAAGGATATGGAACTCTAATGTTTTTTAATATTTCAAAAATCCTGAGGAAAATCTTTCTTCCCTTTGATTCTACTCCATTGACTGCTGCCTGTTTACACACTGAGAGTGATGCATTCATTCTTGATTCAATCAGAATTAGTCAGATTTGCAAACTCATCAGGAAGAAATGGAGGAAGAGGGAGTCCTTTGAGACCAGGACTCTTCTACCACATCAGCTGCATTAAAATTAAACAACTGGGAGAGATTGTTTTTGGCTGGTGAAGGGTGGTGGGGTGGTGCAGGATTGTCCCAATGGGGAGCAAGGAAAATCAATATCCAACTAATATATAAACATGAGGAATTCTACCAACAAAAATTTAAGTTACACAAATTCTAATTTTTTTCTGTTTATAAATTTTCATAATGAAAAGTTGGATAGATTAATTATACCTAGTCCCCACACTTGAAAAAATCTAGAAGTATGGTTTACTGTACTACAAATTAAGCACATTGATTGTGATCCATGGTTATTTACTCTAAAAAAACTAGTTCGTGCTAAATTACTGAAACCTGTTAGTATATTCCCTTCTAAAACTGCACTGGATTATTCTATCATTTCTGCTGGGTTCACATCAGCAGCTGATTTCCAAACATATGTTAATTCAGCAGAAATTCATAAAGAGCTTAAATACTGTAATGCTAACTAACCTCTGTCTAGGGTCTGAAAGCAAGTCAAAAAATTAGCCTGAAGTGATTTTTGTTACCTTTGAGTTGGGTTTTCATCAGAAGTTAGGTATGTGTATTTGATCAAAACCAGCTATGCTATTAAATAATAACAGAAGACCTTCCTCTAACTAGTTGCATAATCTTTCACGAAGACTTTCTCCTTTCTCCTTTGTTTTTTCAGTCCACATTCCTATAAGTGTGGCAGGAATAAAAAAACTCCAGTTTCCAGCTCTCACCTTTGAGGCCCCTGACAGAGGGAAGGAAGGAGCTATCCAGGAGCTGATCCTCCTTGCAAAGCTGTCCTTGCAGAGATGCACGTGTGCATTTCAGCTACATTATGCCACACTGTTGTAATACTGTATAAAGACCTCAATCTATCCAGAGTATTTTTATATAATGTTGGATGAGTTAGGATTATTTGTAGTGCTGTTGAAGTTTCTGGGAACACATAATATGTAGCTGGCTTAAAAAAGAGCCTCTCAGGTGCATGGCTCTTCCTGGTCTCTGATTCATTAGGCTAAAGAGAGACGAGAGAAGCCCCCCACCCGATTCTCATAACAGCTCCATCAAGAATGCAGGATTTGAAAACCAAGGATTTGGGAAATTTGTGCAGAAATGTTCATCAAATCTGATCAGTCAAGGGACTAAGCCCATAACCGAGCATTTGAAAAATTGCAGGGAGGATGAAAATTTGGGAATCCTGTTAATGAGGAGATTGAATCACAGGTTCCTGGGCCACAGAATGTGAGCATTCGTGTCCTCTGCTCACCTTGGTCTCCGCACGCCTTTGCAACATGAACAGGTCAGAAGTCTCTCCCATCTACCTTCTCTGTAGCATCTGGGGTTCCAGGCATGGTTTATGCCCCATTCCAGCAATAAGAACCAATCTGTTGTACAATCTGAGGTCTTGGTTCTGTTATTCATAAAATGATGCTGTGGTCCTGAGATTATTCGGGACATTTTTGGCTCTCCTTTAGTGGACACCTAGAGCCACAGATTTTCTTCTTTACTAAACAAATCCCATGGATTATGATTTCTGGGTCTTAGGATTTTAAAAATGAAGAGATATTTTTCATATATTTGTTAAGTTCAGTTCTGATGGTGCCCGTGGCCAAGAGTTAGAAACATGGACAGTTCCCATTCAGTCTTGGCACTTTGAGTTGTCTTGGGGAAAAGCTTACATTTTAATTTAAAAGAAAGGTCAATTATATCCATGCTTAACAGGATCAGCAGGAGCTTTATAAATGGCTTTACAGCGACTAATAAGGGCTTTGATCTTTCTTTTTTGTTATCGAGGCTTTTGAAATGTGGAACGTGTGTGTTCTGCTATGTATATTATATTCAATATCTTTTCAGATGCAGTCTATATTTTATGCTGAGCTTTTTAAATGAAATACTTTATGTGGACAGGCAAAACTGGTACCAAAGGGAATCCTTCAAAATGGGGAACAACATTTGTGTAAGGAGAACAGGTGACAACATATACGAAGTGTGTGCTAATTGTAAAATGAGAAACTTCATCCTTAAAGCACATCAGAATTGAATACAAATAATCTATTTGTCAATGAAATAAACACAGCTCTTTGAGGATTTGAGACTACATTCACCCTTTATTCACAGTCACTTGCAGTTTTGCTTTTCTCTGCATTTCTCTGCTGTAAGATGACTGTTGCATTGTTAAATTGTATTTTGAATGGATATTTTTGTTTGGTAACAATATTTTAAATGGTAAAACGTGTGCCTTTGTCCTTTCTCTTCCTTCTAAACATGTATCTCTCCCACAGGTCATTCTCCTGTGACCGTGTGTACTGCAGACTGTTTCAAAACCGGGCAGGCAATTAGCAATGGGAAATAAGTGGTCCACCTTCAATATTTGCTTGTTGTTCATTTACATGCTCTTGGCACCAATCCTAGACTCACGTGTGCCCCAGAATAACATTCAGACTCTCAGTTGGTCTTGTGTTACACATCCATGGACCGGTTCACTCCATCATATACAGCTCTCTGCTCCGTGTCCCCTGGGCTCAAGTCAAGCAGTCGGTGACAGATTTCATTCCCAATAACAGAATCGGTTTGCATGACTCCCCATACATGTTGCAGCTTTGAAAACATTCATCTCAGTGTCAGGAATAAAGACAGTAAAAATGCATGTCAAGCCCTCGTTAGCTGATGAGGTAAATGCGTGGACAACTTCTTGGCTCTCCCCTCTGTGACCTTGCAGCCTGCTCAGTCCTTTGTGCAGCTGTTCCTTATCAAAAGCAGCTAAATCCCCCCATCTGCCCATTTAAAAATTGGTGGGGTGAACAAAGAGCATGAAAATGTTGAAGACCAAAACCAAAATTTACTCAAATCAAAGTTAAGTACAGAGTTTATTTTTAACAAATGTCATAGCTATGTCACCTTACTACAGAATCCAGCAGTCAGAAAATAACACAAAAAATGCCGAGGTTTGGCGTAGCTGGTAGCTGGGGACAGTGTCTTCGTTTGATTACTGCCAGTTATTTCCAGCATGCTAAATCCCTACCCACGTTCCAGCCTCTAGGTGAGTCAGTGCGTCACTCTGTCTCCCGTCCAATTAATTATTTCTCATCACTCCCTCAATCCAAGTAACAAACCTTGAAACACGAACATAGACACCAGGCTTATTGGGGCGTGCACAGCCAAGACCCCAAGAAGTGACTCCTTGTAAAATGTATTTGTCCTTCTCGAAGCAAACCAGAGGACCTCCACTGTCACCCTATACAGAGGGAGAGAAAAATGCATGTGAGGGTTAGGCTGCCTGCCTTTTATTATGGGATGCCATCCTTCTACTATCCATATATACATTTTCCCAGTAATTGAAATCAGAAAGGAACTTATGAGCATATTACTCAAGCATCTGCAGTGCTTAAGTACTTAGCAAAATCTGTTTAGCGAAACCACACCACTTAGTTTTTCCGGGGGGTAGAAAAGATCTTTTGTGAATCCTGCACACATCCCTTCCTATGTTGGTGTTTCCTTTAGACTGGGCTAGCCTGGGCATCAGTGTAAAGTGTGTGCAGTTGGTCTCTGTCCTGTATCCTCTACCTCCTTCCCTACCGGAAAAGTCACCACTTTAGTCCCTGGCCACCAGCACACCCCAGGAGGGTGAGTGGCCTGAGGTAGTTATGGCACTTAAAACTCGCTTGCTACTGATTTGGAACTCAAGCCCCAAGACATCCCCTTAGATGATCTGAATACGCATTCAGGGACAGATCTAGGAAGTTTCTAAACAACACTTAGACTGGGGTCTTCGGTTGAAAATCCTTGAATTTGCCACCTGGGGAATGAAGTCTGAGGGGCTGAGACTGAGACAAGAGAGCACAAGACTAACTTTGGTCTCTTGATCTTTGCTTACCTGGCAACTGTCAGTGCCTCCGGCCAAATGCCCAGCACAGAGTTCGGTGGATTGGACTCTTCCATTCAGAAACTCATAGCGATTGCACACTTTATTCTCAATCACAGGGAGCTGGGCTTCCTTGAGAAGGCCAGCTCCAAAAGTACCTGTGTTTAAAAAGATGAAAGAAATGGCAACTGCACCCAAAACACATTCAGGAGGATATTCCAGAACAGAGCAGCGGCACTGGACCTCCTGTCTGTGAGGCTGCAGAACACGAGGCAGCTCCCAATGCCGCTGGAGTCTCTGACCCTGCAGAGTGTAAACATCATATATGATTCTGTGTTCCTGAGCCCTGGAATTAACAATCTGGGCTTTGTCGTGTTGGTTTGGGGTTGGTTGTTGTTTCTTTACTTTTTGCTTTTAAAACTATAAAGAATAATGTTTAAAATGTAGAGTCTGAAAAATGCAATTGCTATTTTTATATACTCTTTTTTCAGATGTTTTAATATGCTTCTTTTACTAATTACATCATAACACAAAATTTCACATCTTGATTTTTTCACTCATCATTGTGTCATGAGTTTTGTATAATGCTATGATCTTCATAACTAATATGTTAAGGGGAGCTACTGCTTAATGAACATGAGGTTTCCTTTGGGAATGAGGAAAATGTTCTGGAAATATGATGATGGTTGCACATGATTGTGAATGTACTAAATGCCACTCAGTGGTACCTTCCAAAATGGTTAAAATAGTAAACCTTATGTTTTGTATATTTTATTGCAATAAAAAAGAATAGTCATCATTTACCAAGAATTAACCTTTCCAGACACAAGCTTATAATGCGATGTATCTCACTTAATCCTCGCAATAGTCCTGTGAAACAGGCACTTTTATCATTTCTGTTCTACTGTTAAGGAAACTGAGGCGTAAGGAGGTTGTGTAGTTCAGCCTGAGCCTGGGTCTGTGGAGTCACTGCCCAAATGCTTCCTCCCCATGCGTGTTGGCCCCACTCTTGCTTCCAGCTTTCCACATCTTTGTTCATAAAGTTCATTCTTATTCCTTAACATTTTCTGAGTCTAAGTTCCCATAAATTACATAGACATATTTCTGTCTCCCAATAACGTTGCCAAATTATTTTCTAAAAGGGTGTGACAGTGTACCGTGCCACTAGAAAACAATCACTTCACCTCACTTGTATGAGTCTTCAATTTTTAAAATATTAGCTAATCTAATAGGTTGAAATTGTCCTGATTCATTTTCTAATTTACACTTCTTTGACAATTAGGGAGAGTGAACATTCTAGTTGTATTTCTGCCTTTGTGAAAAACTGCTTTATTTTCTTTGCCAAATTGAAATAGAATGTCTGCAAAATTGCCAGAGAAAATGCCGTTTTTCCAGATAGACATGCCCAGGGATGTCTCAGTGTCGTCACAAATAATCTAGTTTTCCAATTTTGCAAGCCCAGGTTTCATTAAAATTTTGCAAAACTCTTTGCTTTGCGAGCATGACACAGGTAAGAACCGAGGCACTCTCTCTTTCCCCAAAGCCTTCGACTGCATTTAGATCATTGTCTCGGGTTCAGAAAACCGACACTGAATCTGGAGTTTACATGAGCAGCATGGAAGAGGCTCATCCCAGCGCCTGGCTCCAGAGCCCAGCTCAGCCCTATCTGGGCAGAGCTGCAGGGAGGAAGCTCCTCTTGACTACCAAGCATTGGGCAGTGGGTGCATCACCTGGACTGTGTAGTTGTGTGAGGGAGCACCCTTCTCAAAATGTTTTGCTGAAAATTAAGTTAGGTGTCACTGCTCTGGGATCTGCTCTCTGAGCAAGGCAAACACGCTGATAAGGGGGAAAACCCACCATGAGTTGCTGGGAAATTGATGCAATCTGTGAGTAGGTGCTGCCTTCCAGTGGTAGATGTAGAGATGGCACCTCTGAGGGCAGAAAGGCCACAGGTGACCTGAGGATTGAAGCCCTCCCCGATGGGGCGTTGGGGAGAGGGCAACAGGGAAAGTCCAGCAGCAGGATCAGCTCAGTGATTGCAGATGATGGCTGACCTGGAAAAACCCCTTGGCCTCAACACCTCCAAACTCTGCGTTTGGAATATCCAAGTCAGGGAACATCTGGAAACATGAAGGGAAGAGCAGGAGAATTTCAACTTCCCTCTGAGAAGCAGAGAACACCCATTGCTTCAATGTCATTATTGACATGTAGAAAATTGAGGAGCAGGCCTGAGTTATGTTTTGTGACTCATCCTGGTGGTTGGCGGTGGGACTGAAGAAACAGTGAGTGGGCTCTGGGCTCAAGGTCCAGCTACAAACTGGTTATGTGATGTCTATTGTTAATGATAGTGATGGTGGTGGTGGTGGTGGCAGTGGTGGAATGGTGGTGATGATGAGGGTTGTGATAAGGGTGGTAGTGATGGTGGTGGTAATGATAATTGTGCTGGTAGTGAAATGATGGTGACGGTGATGGTGGTGGGTAGTAATGATCATGGAGGTGGTGGCGGTGGTGATGGTGATGGTACTGGTGGTGGTAATGATAATGCTAATGGTGGTGGTAATCATAATTACTATCATGTTGATAGTGGTGATGATGGTTATGGTGATGATGGTGGTGATGGTGGTGGTAGTGGTGGTGGTGATGATGGTGGTGGTGATAATGGTAGTGATGATAATGGTGATGGTGGTGGAATGGTGGTGATGATGGTTGATAATGATGGTGATGGTGGTGATGATGGTGATGGTGATGTTGATGGCAGTAATGATGGGGGTGGTGGTGGTGGTGGTGGTGATGATAGTGATGGTAATGTTAATGGTGATGGTGGTGGAATGATGAGAGTGATGGTGTTGGTAGTGGTAGTGATGATGATGGTGGTGGTGATAGTGATGATGGTGATGTTGAGGGTGACAATGGTGGTGGTGGTAATGATAATTGTGATGGTGGTGGTGGTGATGATGTTGGTGGGGATGATGATGGTAGTTGTGGTTGCAATGTGGATGGTGATGATGATAATGATGATCATGAGGCATAATCTTAATCCTCACAATGACCTTATATGTTGGTACAGGTGAGAAAGCTGAGGCTAAAAGAGATTAACTAACTGCTCAATCTCACAAGGAAGATGGGAGAGCCAGAACTCACACACAGATCTTTATGATTTTAGCTTCGTGCTTTCATCAGTTGAGGAATTGTAGAGGATCTGTTTGCTTTTTGGCTGCCCAGCAGCCTATCACACTATATCCTATAATCCTGTTGAGGGAACTACACTTTGCCCCCATCTTGGTATGAGTGTGGTCCTGCGTCCACCTCCAGCATGGAACAGCTGATGCAGGTTGGAGTTAATCAGTGACGGGTTTAGGGGCAGGCTGGTGACACAAGTTCGACCTCTCAGAGCTGGAAGACTATTGTTTGTGTAATGGGGAGAGTGGCCTTCCTTATTTCTTTTCCTGGCAGAGCCAGAGCCACCACAGCATCTGCAGCCACGAGAATGTCACATTTGTGCCCAAGAATAATGGACAGGGTCTGGGGCCATGATGTGAGCCTGCAGAATTTTCAGTTCACTAATGATTTCTCTTTTTTGCTTAATCCAACTTAAGTTGCATTTTCTGTCACTTGCAAGAAAGAGTCATGTTAGATACAACTCTATTCCATATTATTATCAGGAGCTGCCATGATGGACTTCTTAGCATGTGCTTGGTGCTTGGTGCACTTTCTTATTGTTTCTCCCCCAATAGCCCTGCAGCCCACATTTCAGCTGAGGAAACAATCAACAAGAGTTCACAACCCACCCACCCTTCCTCCCTCCCTCCCTCCCTCCCTCCCTCCCTCCCTTCTTTCTTTCGTTCTCTTTCTTTCCCTTTCTTTCTTTCTTCCTTTCTTTCTTTCTTTCTTTCTTTCTTTCTTTCTTTCTTTCTTTCTTTCTCTTTCTTTTCTTCCTTCTTTCCTTCTTTCCTTCTTTCTTTCTTTCTCACATAGAGTCTCACTCTGTCACCCAGGCTGGAGTGCAGTGGCACAATCTTGGCTCACTGCAACCTCCACCTCCCAGGTTGAAGCGATTCTCCTGCCTCAGCCTCCTGAGTAGCTGGGATTACAGGGGTGTGCTACCACACCCGGCTAATTTTTGTATTTTTAGTAGAGACGGGGTTTCACCGTGTTGGTCAGGCTCGTCTCAAGCTCCTGACCTCGTGGTCTGCCTGCCTCGGCCTCCCAAAGTGCTGGGATTACAGGCGTGAGCCACTGCACCCAGCCAGAGAGTTTATGACTTTTCTAAGTCCTGACAGCCAGTAAATGGGAGCCAGGGTTCTAATTCAGGTTAGTCTGTACCATCCCACACATTCTCTGAGCCTCAGGCTCCTCATTTGTAAACTAGGAACAATAATATGTAATTCATAGAGGTTTGCAGCATTTAAATTTTTAAAAATGCAAAACACTGGGAGCAGCCTGGCACACCCATAGGTGTTCCTCCTTTGCCAAGGTTCCTTTTACTTGGCCTCAATGCTCCCAGACCCAGCAGTGCAGAAAGGGAGATCAAGAAATCAAGGAGGTAAAGTTTTTAAATAGTAGGAAAAGCACAGGAAAAGGAAAGCCACTTTGAAATCATCTAGACCATTCGTTTTTAAATGTTTGATTAAACCAAGAAAACAAAAACAAACCTTTCTTCAAATGAAAACTTATGCAAAGGCTGATGTGAAAAACACCACTTGAAAATGCTGGGTTTTTGAATGAGGGGTTAGAGCTGAGTGGTACAAAGAGGTAACGTGCCTAGTCCAGGTCTATCTAGCTAGTGGCAAAGTCAGAACACACTTCCAGGGCTTCAGACTCCTAATGCCCTCCTAGCACCTCTGAGAAACTGCAGCAGGGATCCTAAGACAGTCTTAGTGTTTCAATGGCCAAGGGGACTAGGCTGATGGATATAATTATTGTCAGGGCATACTGCAAAGAGAAGAAAGAATCCCTAAAATGTATTACAGGTGCTGATACCATATCCTGCACAAGTGTTCCCTCTCTTGTTCTCATCCACACCCATCAACCAATACCAAATGCCATCCTAGACCTGGGGCCATGGGACCTGTCCGCCTCTCCCCCAGTTGTAGGTCCCCTGTTTAACACCATCCCACTTACATTAGACATGTGGGTATTTGGGAAGAAGACTAGTCTAATTATAACTTTTGTTGTTATTGTTTTACATTGTGTTAAGAAAGCCAGTCTGGCTAATTTCACATGAAAAATAATCTAACACTCTTAACTTGAGGGCTGGGTGAAAACCCCACTTACCCAGGGAAGCATACTCAGGAATGCTGAAATTATGGATTAAGAGACTCAAAGACCTTTACTGTTTTTTTGCTTGTTTTAGGTGTAGGGAAATATACAAATAAAAAATGGATCACACCCCAAAGCTTCAACACCAAAAATACCTTGCTAACATACCACACTATGAAACCAAAGACAAGAAATCAACTACAAATAAAGACCCTGCACAAGGCTTTGGCCCTGTAAAAACATCCAAAGAACAAGTCTATTGGCTGTATTCAACCTACACTGCAGTTAAAGGAACATAAAGGCCGGAGTGCCATATGTCCTCCAAACAACCACACTAGTTCTCTAACAAGGGTTCTTAACAAGGCTGAGCTGGCTGAAATGATAGAACTGGAATTCAGACTATGGATAGGAATGAAGATCATCAAGATCCAGGAGGATGGCAAAATCCAATCCAAGGAAATTGAGGATCACAATAAAATGATATAGAAGCTGAAAGACAAAATCACTGGTTTAAAAAAGAACCTAATGGATCTGACAGAGCTGAGAGCTGAGAAACAAACTGTAAGAATTTCACAAAGCAATCCAAGTATTAATAGCAAAATAAACCAAGCTGAGGAAAGAATCTCAGAAATGGAAGACTGGCTTTCTGAAATAAGACAGTTGACAAAAATTAAGAAAAAAGAATGAAAAGGAATGAACAAAGCCTCCAAGAAACATGGGATTATGTAAAAAGGCCAAATCTACAAATCACTGGCATTTCTGAAAGGGATGGGGAGAAAGTAAACAATTTAGAAAACATTTCAGGATATTGTCCATGAAAACTTCTTCAACCTTGCTAGAGAGGCCAATAGTCAAATTTAGAAAATACAGAGAACCCCTGTGAGATTCTATACAAGAAGATCATCCTCAAGACACATAATCATCAGATTTTCCAAGGTCAAAATGAAAGACAGAATGTTAAAGGCAGCTAGAGAGAAAGGACAGGTCGTCTACAAAGGGAACCCCATCAATCTAACAGCATACCTCTCAACTGAACCCGTACAAGCTAGAAGATATTGGGGCCTATATTCAATATTCTTAAAAAATATCCACCCAAGAATTTCATATCCAGCCAAACTAAGCTTCCTAAGCAACAGAGAAATAAGATCATTTTCAGCTAAGCAAATGTTGAGGGAGTTGGTTACCACCAGAACTGCCTTACAAGAGATCTTGAAAGAAGCACTAACTATAGCAAGATGGCTACCAGCCAATACAAAAATATACTTAAATACGCAGACCAATGACACTATAAAACCATCACACAAACAAGCCAGCATAACAACACAATGAGGGCATCAAATTCACACATAGCAATACTAACCTTGAATGTAAATGGGCTAAATGCCCAACTTAAGAGGCACAGAGTGGCAAGCTGGATAAAAAGCAAGACCCACTGGTATGCTACCTTCAAGAGACCCATCTCACATGTAATGACACCCATAGGCTCAGAATAAAGGGATGGAGGAGAACCTACCAAGCAAATGGAAATCAGACAAAAAAGCAAGGGTTGCCATCCTAATTTCAGACAAAACAGACTTTAAACCAACAAAGACCAAAAAAGACAAAGAAGGGCATTACATAATGGTAAAGGGTTCAATTCAAAAAGAAGATCTACTATCCTAAATACATGTGAACCCAACACAAGAGCACCCAGCTTCATAAAGTTCTTAGAGACCTACAAAGAGACTTAGACGCCCACAAAATAATAGTGGGAGACTTCAGTACTCCACTGACAGTATTAGACAGATCATCGAGGCACAAAATTAACAAAGATATTCAGGACCTGAACTCAGCATTGGACCAAATGGATCTGATAGACCTCTACACAACTCTCTTTCCCAAAACAACTGAATGTACATTTTCATCACCATGTGGCACATACTCTAAAAATCAACCACATAATTGGACATAAAACAATCTTCAGCAAGTGCCAAAGAACCAAAATCATACCAAACACACTCTCAGACCACAGCACAATGAAATACCAGTCAAGACTAAGAAAATAACTCAAAACCGTACAATTACATGGAAATCAAACAACATGCTCCTGAATGACTTTTGGGTGAATAATGAAATTATGGCAGAAATCAGGAAGTTCTTTGAACTAATGAGAATAAAGATACAACATACCAGAATCTCTTGGACAGAGCTAAGGTAGTGTTAAGAGAGAAATTCATAGCACCAAATGCTAGCATCAAGAAGAAAGATCTCAAATTAAGAACCTAACATCACAATGGAAAAAATTAGAGAAACAAGAGCAAATCAACCCCAAAGCTAGCAGATGGCAAGAAATAACCAAAATCAGAGCTGAACTGAAGAAAGTCAAGACATGAAAATTCATTCAAAAGATCAACAAGTCCAGTAGTTGGTTTTTTGAAAACAGTAATAAGATAGGTAGGCTGCTAGCTAGGCTAATGAAGAAAAGGAAGATAAGACCAAAATAAACACAATTAGAAATGACAAAGGGGATGTTAGCACTGATGCCACAAAAATAAAAATAACCATCAGAAACTACTACAAACAGCTCCATGCACACAAACTAGAAAACCTAAAAGAGATGGATAAATTCCTGGACACATACACCCTCCCAAGACTGAACCAGGAAGAAATTGATTCCCTGAACAGAACAATAATGAGCTCCAAAATTGAATCAGTAATAAATAGCCTACTAACCAACAAAAGCCCAGGACCAGATAGATTCACAGCTGAATTCCACCAGATGTACAAAGAAGAGCTATGACCATTCCTACTGAAACCGTTCAAAAAAACTGAGGAGGAGGGTCTCCTCTCCAATTCATTCTATGAGGTCAGCATCATCCTGATACCAAAACCTGGCAGAGACACAAAAACAACAAAAAACTTCAGGCCAATATCCTTGATGAACACTGATGCAAAAATCCTTTACAAAATACTTGCAAACCAAATCCAGCAGCACATAAAAAAGCCAATCCATCGTGATCAAGTAGGCTTTATCCCCAGAATGTAAGCTTGGTTCAACATACATAAATCAATAAATGTGATTCATCACATAAATATAACTAAAGAGAAAACCCACATGATTATCTCAATAGATGCAGAAAAGGATTTTGATAAAATTTACCATCCTTTATATTGAAAACTCTCAATAAACTAGGTACTGAAGGAATATATCTCAAAATAATAAGAGACAGCTATGACAAGTCCACAGCCAACATCATACTAAATGGGCAAAAGCTGGAAGCATTCCCCTTGAAAACTGGCACAAGATAAGGATGCCCTCTTTCACCACTCCTATTCAACATAGTATTGGAAGCCCTGGTCAGAGCAATCAGGCAAGAGAAAGAAATAAAGGGCATCCAGATAGGAAGAGAGGAAATCAAACGATCCCTGTTGGCAGATGACATGACTCTATGTCTAGAAAACCCCATAGTCTCAGCCCAAAAGCTCCTTCAGCTGATAATCAACTCCAGCAAAGTTTCAGGATATAAAATCAATGTACAAAAATCACTAGCATCCCTTTACACCAACAACAGCCAAGCCCAGAGGCAAATCAGGAACACAGTCCCATTCACAAATGCCACAAAAAGAATAAAATATGTAAGAATACAGCTAACCAGAGAGGTAAAGATCTCTACAATAAGAATTACAAAACACTGCTCAAAGAAATCAGAGATGACACAAATGAATGGAAAAACATCCCATGCTCATGGATTGGAAGAATCAATATCATTAAAATGGCCATACTGCCCAAAGTAATTTACAGATTCATTGCTATTCCTATCAAACTGCCAATGATATTCTTCACAGCACTATTAAAAAACTACTTCAAAAATTTATATATAACCAAAAAGGAGCCAGAATAGCCAAGGCAATCCTAAACAAAAAGAACAAAGCTGGAGACATCACATTACCTGGCTTCAAACTATACTTCAGGGCTACAGTAACAAAAACAGCATGGTACTGGTAAAAAAAAAAAAAAAAAAAGACACGTAGACCAGTGGAACAGAATAGAGAGCCCAGAAATAAGGCCACACACCTACAGACATCTGATTTTTAACAAAGCTGACAAAAACAAGCAATGGGAAAATAACTCCCTATTCAATAAATGGTGCTGGGGTAACTGGCTAGCCATATGTAGAAGATGGAAACTGGACCCCTTTCCTTACACCATATACAGAAATCAACTCAAGATGGATTAAAGACTTAAATGTAAAATCCAAAAGTACAAAAATCCTGGAAGACAACCTAGGTAACACCATCCTGGACATAGGAACGGGCAAAAATTTCATGAAGATGCCAAAAGCAATCTCAACAAAGGCAAAAATTGACAAATGGGATCTAATTAAACTTAAGAGCTTCTGGACAGAAAAAGAAACTCTCAAGGGAGTAAAGGGAAAACCTAGAGAACAGGAGAAAATATTTGCAAACTATGCACCTGAAAAAGGTCTAATATCCAGCATCTATGAGGAACTTAAACAAATTTACAAGAAAAAAAAAACCCCATTAAAAAATGGACAGGGGACACTAACACACTTTTCTAAAGAAGACATGCCTGTGGCCAACAAACATATGAAAAAAAGCTCAATATCACTGATCGTTAGAGAAATGCAAATCAAAACCACAATGAAAAATCATCTCACACCAGCCAGAATGGCTTCCTAAAAAGTCAAAAAATAACAGATGCTGGCAAGGTTGCAGAGAAAAGAGAACACTAACAGCTGGTGGGACTGTAAATTAGTTCATCCACTGTAGAAAGCAGTATGGTGATTCTCAAAGAGCTAAAAGCAGAACTAACTTTCAACCCAGCAATCCTACTACTGGCGATATACCTAGAGGAATATAAATCATTCTACCCTAAAGACACATGCACATGAATGTTCATTGCAGCACTATTCACAGTAGCAAAGACATGGAATCACCTATATGACCATCAATGACACATTGGATGAAGAATATGTGGTACATATACACCATGGAATACTGTTTAGCCATAAGAAAGAATGAGGTAATATCTTTTACAGGAACATGAATGGAGCTGGAGGCCGTTATTCTTAGAAAACTAACACAGGAACAGAAAACCAAATACCACATGTTCACAGTTATAAGTGGGAGCTAAGTGATGAGAACTCATGGACACAAAGAAGAGAGCAACAGACACTGGGGCCTACTTGAGGGAGAAGAGTGGGAGGAGGGAGAGGAGCAGGAAATACTAAGAATTGGGTACTAGGGTTAGTACCTAGGTGACAAAATAATCTGCATGACAAACCACTGTTTACATATACAAGAAACTTGCACATGTACCCCTGAACCTAAAATAAAAGTTAAAAATTAATTAATTGAAATAAAAATGTTCTGAAAACAGAGAGAGAGAGAGAGACTCAAAGACACAGTTTTCCTCCCTTTGATCATGTGCCTTGAAGACTGATTAAGACATAGACAGGTGCCCAGGCAAAATCAGGAGTGGGGTGGACCACATTCATGGATAGGAATTTGCACAGCTTTCTCCAAAATGATCATTTTGTCACATGGACTGTAGGTCAAAACCAATTCGTTATGTGGGCAATGGAATTTATCTCACCTTGGGTTTCTCCCCAGCCAGTGATGAAACATTCGGTCCGGTCAGCGACCACATAATTTGGGGATGGCAGACAAGCTGGGATTACTTTGTCAGTGATGACGGCAGGACTGAAAGAAAAGCATCAGCAGTTATGTTTGACTGCTCTGCTCGCAGCTGCAGTACCCACAACCAGTCATCCCTGTCTTGAGGCCCCAGAGCCCTCTGAACTGGCACTGCCTTGCTTCACTGACACAGAGCAACGTAGAACACAGAGTTTCACCCTCACATTTGCCTGTGGTTGTCTATGGACTATGCAGATGTAAGGTTTCATTTGAAAGGCATCAGTTGCATGCAAGATACTGCTGGTGGCCTTCACCTTTGAAAGTAGGGATGACAAAGGCGCACTTCTCATGTATATTCTGTGCACAACTGGAATCTCATGCTGAGTGTGTCCTTTTACATTAATCGAATAGGGCATTGATCAGTGCATGGAATGTCTGACTGAGATGCCACCAAGAGGCTGTAAAATTGCAAATGTGTTGTGTGCCCAGAGCAACTTGCTCCATCCTTGGATCCTCCATTTCCTCCTCAGTGAATGTTACTACGCCATAGTTGTAAGAATCCAGTAAAATACTTGATACCAAATGAAAGAGGATTGGAAATAAGCCTTTTGCTTGAACAAAATGGTATTTGTTTTCAAAGAACATTCATATACTTTAGAGTCCCAGGGACTCTCAAACATTAGAACTCCGGTTTTTAGACCTGATTCTACTTTAGTAAGTTCAAGAGGATAAAGGATTGGAAATAAGAAATGCCCTATTCTGATCAAGAAACATCATCGTCACCAACTTTGAAGCAGGCACACTTTCTGCTTCTGAGCATCATCAGAAGGCCCAGCCTGTCATGCAGACGTCCTCACTCTACAGGTTCCCTGGTGGAGCACTAAATGCCCTAGACTCGGGGTGTGGGGATGTGGGGTGGGAACTCTAAACTCGAAATGTATCAGCCTATCAGAGAACTCCTCCAAAACCCAAAATTTCCAAATTACTTGTTCAAGCCATCAGAACACCCCAGCTCTCTGAGGATCATGAGGAACGGGGACCTTCTATTTGCACATTTGCTGGGATGGCGGGGAGGACACTGGGGAGCAGGAGGGAGATCAGCTACTGTTTATAAAGGCTGAGCTGGAAAGGCTCTTCTCTCCTTCTAGAGTGTCAGAGCATCCCAGGACATCACCCCTCAGTTCACAGACCCAGAGAAGCTGCCCTGGGCTTGTGGCCAGGCCCAGGAGAGCAGCTCAGGCTCCTGCCCCGTGCCTTCTCATCCAGGCCATGCTCATCCCTGTCCACACTGACACCCTGTCTTCCAGAACCACCAGCACAGCGAGCGCCCTGCGTGCCTTGTCACCTGTCCCAAACCTGCTTCTCCTACAAATAGCTGTTTCTTAGCTGACTCAACTAGTATCTGGCTCCAAACAGCACTAAATGAGTGACATAAGCAAATGTTTCACTTTGTCAGGCTTAGTGAAACAACATTTCAACAGGAAAGAGAAAATCAAATCAAAGAAGACAATAATAATAATATAATTTACATTTATAAACTGTATTTGTGATTTTTTTGACATTGTGAAGTTGTTTTTTTTTTGTTTGTTTTTTGTTTTTTTGGTGTTTTTTTTTTTGGTACAGTGTCTTACTCTGTCGCCCAGGCTGGAATGCAGTGACACGATCATAACTCACTGCAGCCTCAAACTCCGGGACTCAAGTGACCCTCCTGCCTCAGCCTCCCAAGTAGCTGGGATTACAGGCACCCACACCAGACACCCAACTCGATCTTGTGGTTTTTAAAGTGCTTTGAAACAAATATAGTCTTATATGATTCTCTTAAACATATTATGATGAAGGGGGAATTGTCAGCCTGGAATAACTGAATCGTTCTCTGATCATGAATGTGTATGAACTGGTGAACATTAAGTGAGTTCTAGGAGTAACAGAGTACCTCATTTCAACTCTTTTTCCACATGAGAAAACGGAGTCCTGCTGCCTTTCTCAAGAGCACAGCTAGCATGTGGCAGGGCTAGGGTTGAAGATTGATGCTGTCCCCAAAGCCCTTGAGCCTTTCATGTGATAGACAGTTCCTCCCCACTGCCATGCAGTGGCCATGGCCCATAAAACCCAGACATAAAGCAAATATCTTCACCAGCGTGGGGTGAAGACCACAGGTGAACGAGTACCTGCTTAGCTTTAGCAAGGCAATATCTTTTCGTGTGGGCTCCAAGAACAGCCTAGACACTTCTATTTCCTGAACATGCGGTTCGAGATTCACTTCTTGGTGTGCACCCAGGATGACCTTGTAGGATGAAGGCCTTGGGGACCTAGAAAAGATGAGGACGTCAAGAGGAAAATATGGTCCAGCCCCTTCAGGTAACCTCTGTGCCATGAAATTGGTGCTGTCTCCCTGACACCCTTGGCCACTCAGAATTAGTGACTTCTGAGTGGCAAGAAGCAAAATTCATGATTTGCTTGAAACAGGCAGTTAAGGAATGTTCTTGGGCTGTTTGGGCAGAGACTGATACAGCCTATGGTAGTGAACAGCTCTGTTCTGCAGTTTATTCAGGCCCACAAAATCATCTGTACTGTGTCTTTCCTCTGCAGTTTCTTTCTAGAAACCCTTCCCTTCTCTCTTATCCAATTGCCCTGGCCTGGTCCCTAGTGTCACAGCCAGAGAAGGAAGGGAGGAAGAGTGAGAAAGGAAAGGAGGAAAGGAGGAAAAGAAGGACAGAAAAAGTATTTAAGACAAGACTTCATGTCAATTGTCCCCTAAACATACTTCTCCAAGCAGTGGGCAGCAGTCAACACCCACTCTGGGGATATCAAGGTGCCTCCACAGAAGTGCATTCCAAACCTGGAAAGAGGATTTAGTTCAAATTTTAGTTAAATTGATACTTTGTTCTGCTCCATTGTACAGAAAGCCAGAAAGACACGTTCACTTAATTTTGACCATGTTCATATTCCCAAAGGAAAGGACTGCAAGCCCAGCATCAGGATGGTAGTAATTTTGGCCAGTGCTCCAGGAGTGGGATTTTTGAGAAGGGCCCATCTATGCCAATTTTTCCGATGCTTGGGGGAGGCACAGGCATGGCCTGTCCACAGGAGAGCAAAGCTAAGTAACTCCGCATGAAGCTCTACAGCCACGGCTTTCACCCCACAGCCCAGGACTCCAACAGAAGCCACCAGCCCAAGACCTTCCCCCGAGGCCTCTTTCATTTTTATGACAAGATCTATGTAAGGTCTGATGAATCACTCTTCAAGGAGCCAGATGTGATCCTGAGCAGCAGTGACTCATGGGAGTCTTCTGATCTTACCTGAGAAACTTTACTTTTGGGGAATGTTTCCTGAATCACTTACTTTCTAGGACTGCGTAGGCAGGTAATAGCTCAGAATAATGGTGTGAGCCATTTGGAACCAAATTTAAAGAAGAGGAATAGAGATAGGAAGTGCATGATGGTAGCATGTTGATAAGTCAGTGAGGACGTAGACCACCACATAGTTTAGGAAAGAATGAATCTGAAATATGTGGAAGGTGAAAGCTCTGTAGAGCAAGGAGTTACTAAATGATAAAATAAAGAAAAATCGACTCAACAGCAGAGTGAAATGCAATGCGATCAGGTTTGTCGATGGCATTTCACAAACTTATGGAAAAGAGTCTCTTTAGGGGAAAACAGCAATTGAGCACAGGCACCCTCGTGTAGAAGTGAGATGAGGAAGCAAAACAGGCAGACGGATGGGCCTGTTTCCTATGCTTGCTTCCTAAGAGATACCCAAGAAAATGGAACTTATGAAAGGCATGTTCCACTGAAACAATACCCAAAATGTCCAGGTTCCCTGGGATTGGACTGATCACTCTTCATTTATGGGGATCATGACCTAGAATTTTTTTGTTTGCGAATGGATGAGTAGCCTCTGCATTGAATTCAATGATTCACGAAAGTGTCCAAAGAAAAAGAATCTGTGCCTGTGATAGACTGGAGATAATTTTGTCCTTGCTCTCCCAACCCAGAAAGTGTCACATTTCTAAAAACTTCCCCCTCTTTTCATCTGACAATGAGACAATGGATATCCATAGAAATCCTCAGAGCATCTTCAGTATTTTCCAGCAATATTGGAACTTGGTGCAAATCACTGTGCCTACAGATTTTGATGGAGCTGCCCAGATCAAGAAAAAGACAGCAATTTTTGTCATTTTCACAGTAGAGAACCTATAAAAATATATATGTATATATACATATATTAATTTTTGTAGCTTTTTTCCTCCTTCAGAAAACTTAGAGGCAGGTGCTGATGCCTCAGCTGTGTGGATTTTATGTAAATGTAGAAGGGTTTTGCAGGGCTTACGTGGAGGGACAGTATAAATCGTTTCTGGGCCTGTTCTTACCTTGTTCTAAGACTGACTTGCCAGGGCCAGGAATGTGGGTGGGCCACACACCCCCCTACAACCCTTCCAGGACATTTCTTCGGCTCCACTTGAGGCTTCCCACAATCAAATGAAGGGGCCGCTGTGGCACAAGGTGGGAAAGAAATCCCATTTGAGACAAGGTAGCAATTTTGTGGTGTAATTCGAGACAAATTCCAAGCACTGAGTTTTTGACATCTTAAAGGCCGAACTAAATAGTAAAATCATCATCTTTTGGAACATTTTCTCTAAGTTTCAAAAGTGGTAGTAGACAACACAGGACCCTCTCTTTTCAAGAAAATATAAGCACTTTGTAATTATTTTGTTGGAGAAGTGATCAAACAGACTGGTATAGTTTAGCATCAGAATGAGATATTTTCTGAGAAAACCTTGATTGGGACAAATGGTTATTTGTCATTGTTATTCTGACTCCATGCAGTATGTTTAGAACATGATGCCATCCTTCCCATAATCATCATCATCACCATCACCATCTAAACCATGTAAAGTTTACTGAAAACCATAATTGTCATCACTGCTGAAAGGCACAAAGGTTTATTTTTCCATGTGAGTCTCTGTGTGTGCACGTGTGTGTGTGTGTGTATGTGATTGTATGTAGCAAGGATTACTGTCCTAAGTTGAAATGTTGCCTTCTGTCAGCCAGCTTCAGGACAGCTCCTCTGGGGAGCCTCCCATGACTAACCAACGGCCGTGGGGGTGACTTAAACATATGACTTTATTCTTCTTTTCCTCCTCCCTGCCTTCTCTCTGTAGCCAGCCCACAGGGTCTCTGGAGGTAGGGACAGTGTCCCATCTTTGGTACCATCCACCAATGCCTACAACAGTGCAGGGGCTGCAGAGGGTATTCAAAAATGCTTCTCTGTTGTCTCCAGCCCTTCAAGGTCTTCACAAATGTAAATGTTAATATTTTAAATAATTGTTCATACAATTATTAGTAACAACTGTAAGAGGAAATTCCTTCCCAACCAACCAGAGATTCTATGCTCTAGTGAATCTGGAACCTGGGTTTTCCAAATAACTTTACATTTGCCATGGGCTGTTCTGAGAATCTATCTATGGAAGCCTTTTTTTAAAAAAAGAAGCAAGGCATAGAATGCAATCATCTTCTCTAGTGCTGAGCTCAATTTCTGCTAGTATGCCTTACATACAGTAGACATGCATCGTTGTACTAAAAGAGTAACTACAGAAATGATGGTACCCTGCTCCTACTATTCAAAACAAAACTGAATGTTTCTATTTATTTTTGCTTATTATTATTTGTACTGTATATGTTGGTGGAAAGGAAATAGTTATTAAAATCATTCACCACCAGAGGCTCTAGCTTTCTCAAGCACGAGTCAAACCTGAATAAACCATATCCTTCTGCATGAAACAGTCCTCAGGATTTCCAAGTGTCTGATGGGAACGCTTCTCACCAGGCTTGGGGTTAACCTCACTTGTCTCACATCAAGGTTAGGTGGGGGACCTCACAGTCCTTTGGGAAAAATCTTGTTCCCATTCTTCCTTCTTTCTCCAATCTCTAAGAACCTGATTCTTGTACATCCTCAATGTGGGTGAGGACACCAGAATTGCACCTGGGAAACTACTGCACTTCCCTTCCATGGGAGTCAAAGGTGCATGAGTCCCAGGCACGGTAGTGGGGTCTGAGGCAAGAAAATCAGTCTGGGCTCAACTTCAAGGCAGCCTGTCAAGGATAGAGAGCCCGGGCAGTGAGAGGCAGTGGTGTGTACCAGATGGGGCCAGAAGTGGAGAACTGGAACTGACTCCATCGAGGGACTTTGAGTTAGAGGTGCCACCAAGATGCTTCTGCAGAAAAAGTCAGCTATCAACTCATGCTAAATCCAGAGATCACAATGCCGCATTACAATAATATTGGCCAAGTAGAATCTTTCATACCATCCTAACCCCTCCTTCCTCCCTCTTGGTGTCCCTAGGAGAAGCCCAAATGCGAAGCTGGGCAGTGTGGCTCCCATGATCTTCATCACTGCCCTGTACCACCTTCCCAGGCAATCTCAGGATGCTGGTCTTCAGTGGACTTGGAGGCCAAGCTCCTTCCCCCAGCTCAAGGTCCCTCCACATGGCAGACCCAACCACAAGCAACCAAATTATGCATAGGAGAAGTCCAGGGTGGTTTTCTGTAACTAGGACAAATTGATTGGTCAGCAGAATGTTAAATATGGGACAATTCCAAGTAGCTTCCTTTCTTTTTTTTTTTTTTTTTTTCAGAAATACCCATGGATTTGTTATTCCAATTCTTTAAGAACTAATGTCAACTCCCCTTCCCCTGATCCAAGCCTCATACTCCCAACAAGAGTCTCAGAGCAATGAGGATGGAACCCAACAAGCAGTCTCTAAGCTATGTCACTAATGTGACTTGTGAGTAGTAAACTTATAAGAAAGGCCATCTGGGGCTAAAGAGCTGCACTACCTTTCATTGAATTCCTAGGATGGCCATCTGAGGTTTACAATGTGCGTTACATGCTTACCTGTTTCCTGCTGTTTGTATTTTCTTTCTTACTTCTCAGCTGTGGAAAGGGAAAGTTTTTCATCCGAATGACTCTAAATTTTTCATGCATCCCACGCTAGACATGGCAGCATTCAGTGGGACCATCCTGGGGCTGACTAGATTACCTCTAAGCTTGCTCTTTGGGAATTTTACATTTATTTTATTTATGTGTGCCTGGGGCGATGGGCAGGTGTTCCTCTAACAAATGTGGCCAATAGTAGGGCAGATTCAAGATGCCCATGATGAAGAGTGGGGTCTGATGGAGAGGGCAGCTATCTCCTCCCCAGAAGCAGTCTGCTCAGAAGCCCTTTTCCTTTTTTGTTGCAAATCCATATTAAGTAAGCAGTTTCCTTACCAAAAAGAAGGCAACCTACCACACTGAGGGACATCACAGTAGTCGTAAAGTTTTCTTGGATTTGTCGTGTAGCACCAGGGACCACCTACATCACCATCAGGGTTACGGCAGTACTGAAAACAAGAAGGCATGTAAGCTCCAGCTCACGTGGGGCAGGAGAGGGAGAAGGTGTTCCAAGGCTCACGCATTTCATGTCTATCCTTAGAAGACATAAAGGAGTGTTTCTTTTTCCTTCCTTCTTTTTTTTTTTTTTTTTTTTTTCTGAGGTGGAGTTTTGCTCTTGTCGCCCAGGCTGGAGTGCAGTGGCATGATCTCAGCTCACTGCAACCTCCATCTCCTGGGTTCAAGCGATTCTCCTGCTTCAGCCTCCTGAGTAGCTGCAACTGCAGGTGCACGCCACCACACCTGGCTAATTTTTTTTTCTATTTTCAGTAGAGATGAGGTTTCACCATTTTGGCCAGGCTAGTCTCGAACTCCTGACCTCAGGTGATCTGCTTGTCTCAGCCTCCCAAAGTGTAGGGATTACAGGTGTGAGCCACCATGCTCAGCCTCTTCTTCCTTTCTATTATTATTATTATTATTTTGGCAAAGTTATTTTTTGAATGCTCTAAAGCCGTCCTTCCTGTGCCCCTGTTCAAAAGGAGCTATGAGGCCACACCCCTGGACAGGGAGTGGTGACCCTCGGGGGTCTTTGGAGAATGGGTCTCCCTTCAGGAGCCTGACCCAGTGGAGGCCTTAGAGCCCCAGCACCAAAGGACAGTGGGACATCATTGATGTGCATTGTCCCTGGAGGGCTCAGCGCTCTCCTACCCGATGAAGCCTGTTTGCTGTTGATTCAGAAACATTTATTTCCATGCATTGTGCGCCCTCTATGGGGCAAGACACAGAAAGGCAGTGTTGTCCTCCCCTTCATATGACACTGTGGTAGAATAAGAAACGTATATTTGGTCTCTGCCCCCCAGTTCCTGACACGGAGCTCCTAAATCCCTTGGGGGTTCCTGAGTGAAGGGAGCATCTTTTGTTTGAATGAAGCAACTCTTGGTGGGTTCTTGGATAGTCTCAGGATGGGGCTGGTTGCCAAAGGAACCAACCATGTGATTGCAGGGTTGGAACTGTTCAGCCCCCCACGTCCAACTTCCAGGGAGGGAACAGGAGCTGAAGGTGAGCTGGTCTCCAATGGCCAACGATGTATTCAACTGTGCCTCTGTAATGAAGCCTCCATAAAAACCCAGCAAGACTGCACTTGGAGAGCTTCTGGGTTGCTGAACACTTGGGGTACCGGGGGCTGGTGCACTGGAGAGGGCATGGAAACTCTGAGCCCCTTCTCACATGCCTTGCCCCGTGCATCTCTTCTGTCTGGCTGTTCACCAGGATCCTTTGTAATATCTTTTATAACAAATGGGTAAATAAAAGTAACGTGTTCCCCTGAGTTCTGTGAGCCACTCTAGCAAAGTAATCAAGTAGAAAAACAGATTTTTGTCCAGTTGGGCAGAAGTACAGGTCACCGCCTGGAACTTGGGATTGGCATCTGCAGTGGGGCGGTCTTGTGGGACTGAGCCTTAACTTATGGGATCTGACACTGTCTCCAGATAGAGTGTCAGCACTGAGTTACATTGTAGGACACCCAGCTGGTATCTGCTGGAGACTCGCTTGGGGTGTGAGGAGAAATCCCCCCACATCTGGTGTGAGAAGTGTTATGCTGCATGGGTGTGAGAGTGGGGGAACACAGACACTTTGGTTTTTCCTATATCTCAGTCTTCCCTATTCATAGGCCCCAAAGTAAACCATCGCAGAGAATGCATGAGGCTAAGGGAAGTCCCATGGTGACCTGATGGCCCATCCAAATTTTTTCTCGAAAAATCTGACTTAAATTTCATAAAGGGCATCTTTGATTACTGGAACCTAGCATACAAACACTAGAAACTAGAGACAGTCCCCAATAATGGAAACTTTAAAGAAATGTCACTAAAGGGAAGAGGCCTGAGAACCCTCACATGTGTGGAGGTTTCCTGGCCTGTGCTGCTTGTACTTTCCATACTAAGGCCAATTATATTCTAGCTTAGCCCCCTGATGCCTTTCCAATATTTTCTTCTGTCCCCTCTCCCCCATTACAAAAAAGAGCAGTCCAGGTCAGATTTTCTGTAACACAGAACCAATTCTGTTTGCAAAGATTGGTGAGCAAAAGGCCAAAGAGTCCAAATCAAAGTGGCTTACATTTTTTTCCAGACCCGCCCGTGGATTTGTCTCTGGAGTGAAAATGCTGTGTCTATGGGGCTCCTGGGCAGCCCAGTCCTGGCATGGCGTCCCAGTAACAGTGGTCGCCCTCTTGCCTCGGTATCCTTTCCCATTCCCAAACATACAGTCTGTACAGGGAAAAAATGGATGATTATGAAGAGCCACAGAGACCCAGGATGATATGGAATCAATACAGTCATGTCAGGTTTCTCTAGGATGACAGAATCAGGGGCCACATTCCTCAGAAACTGCAATGCTGAAGACTGCAATGAACGCTGCCTACCTTAAGAAATTACTGGAGATGCTTACTGGCTTGGAAAGAATCACACATATGGCAGCATGATAGAATACGAATTTGGACTGGGATACTGAGATAACCCATTTTAGAACAAGGTGAGTGGTTAAGTTGAGCACCTTGGAGGGTTTGCACCTGTCCTAAAGGCACAGCCCACTCACGTTGTGCCAAAAGTCACACCTCTGCCTCCTTGAGAGAGTGCACTGAGGCTTCCTTCCACATGGCAGACCCTCTAAAAACACTTGATTTCTCGTGTAGCATGGAAGGTTTCTGCATCAGTGAGATTTTCCATGGCTTTTCATCCCAGCGTCCAAGTGTGTAGATGTCCAGCCACAGATTTCTTACCTTCTTCGGAAGGAGTCTCTACATCTGGAAGCAGGACAACAGGCGGAGGTGCTACAACACTCGCTTCTGTTCCTGAGCATTTTTTCAGGTTGCAGTACTCCCACCTGACGCTGGGGTCTGTGGTAAAACACCAGGGGCCTTTATCGGCATCTGGATTCCTGCAGTAGTTCATTGTCAGGCCACTGGAAATTCCAAAACAATACAGGTCACAAGAGGTGGGAGAATATTCAGGGGCACCCAGCACCCTCTACATTTTGTTCTAACAAAGTGTTAACAAGTGGCTTTGAAATATTCCCATTATAGGTACAATAATGTTGTAACAAACAAAAATGGTCCTCAACTTCTAAACAACTGTGTACATTTCAAAGACAGATTTTAATTTTTCTTTAAAAAATCAAAAGTAGTATATGCTCCATATAAAAACTCAGATCATACATAAACATGTAAATAAAAGGATCAGAATATCCCCCTCCCACCTTCTGCCAAATACATTTCTCAGGAATAACAGGTACAGATTTTAAAGTGCATATTTTATATTTTTATGCACATAAAAGTATATCTCTAACTGTCTAGCTCTCTGTATTTCTCTCTATAGGACTGTATTGTGAAATGTGCATTGGAACTAAAATACATTTCTCCAAGGAGAAAATGACATCCAAGATGGTATCATTCCCAGGCCAGTCACCTTACTCTAAGTACTCACAGTGTAACTAAAGGGATCTACTTTTACTATGAAAAACAACCACGAAAAATAGTGTTACTGTCAATACCGTATCAGGTGTGTCAAGTGGGTTTGTTTCTGCAAGACGTATCAAAGCCACCCTGGGAAACTAGCTCCCAGGCAGGATGCCATTTCTCTAGGATGGGTTCCTGGGCAGGACATCCTCTCCTGCTCTCAATCCATCCTCTGCTGGCCACTGCCACTCCAGGTCTGAGGGAATGGGGGATGAGTTGGAAGAACAGTGGGACTCAAGATATAAAGGGAGACTATGGGATCTGAAGAGGTCGGGCAGCTACGGAGGAGTCCGAAAACAACGGAGTAATAGTCAAAGCAGGCGAGGACCCCGGGCTGGGGGGGATCTTGGAGAATGTGCTCCCCCTCATGCCTCCCAAGAATGTTGCTCCAACCTCTCAGAATCCTCACATTCATGACCTGTGGCTGTCTGAGAAAACGGGAAATGTATTATGTACCATGGGAATGCAACATTGTCTCTCTAGCGACTCTACACATGTGATCTAATCTCAAGCCCAGACACCCCATTTGAGGAAGTTCATAGTCTAAGCAACTGGATGTGTTAAAAGGCTGAGCATTTGAAACAGATTTCCACTCTCTTCAGTTGAGGTATACTTTTACATAGTGTGAAATGCACAGATCTTAAATGTTGTTTGGTGAGTTTTGATGATCACCTATACTTGTGTAAACCACACTCCCATATGATACAGAACACTTCCATTACTCTAGAAACACCCTGTGTCACTGCTCATTCAATTCCTGCTACCCTCTTCCCACTGCCAGAGGGAAATACTATTGGTTTCCTTCACTAAAGATTAGTTTTACCTCTCCTCAAACCTGATATAAATGGGCTCATACAGAATGTACACTTATGTATCTGCCTCCTTTCCTTAATATATTTTTGAGTTCCATCCATCCTATTTGAGAGGATCAGTCACTTCTTCATTTTAATTGCTTAATAATATTCCATTATATGAATAGATCACAAATTATCGATTCATTTTCTCATTGATTGACCTTGTAGTTGTTTACAGTTTGGGGTTATAATAACTAGAGCTGCTGTGAATATTCTTGTAGATCTCTTTGTGGACTTCTGTTTTCATTTCCATGGGGTAAATATTCAGGAATAGAATTGCAGTTTTTTGGGGTAGACTCATAGTTATTTAACTTTATGGAAAACCAGCATACTGTACTTTAACCAGCGTATGCGAGAGCTGCACATCCTCGCTCCACATCAGTGACAGCACTTATTGTTGTGTCTTCTTAATGATACCCATGCCCATTAAGTGTTGGTGACATCTTGTGATGGTTATAATTCTTATATCTTTGATGGCTAAAATGTTGAGCATTTTTTCAGGTGCTTATTGTCCATCTGTCCATCGTTCCCTGAGAAATTTCCTATTCAATTCTGTTGCCCATTTTAATTAGGTTGTTTGTCCTCTGATTAGTGAGTGGGAGAAACGTTTATACTCTAGATACAAACCATTTGTCAGATATATGGATGGAGAGAATTTTTATTCCAGTCTGTTACTTACCTACTGATTTCTTAACAATGACTTTTGATGAACATAATTTTCATTTTATGAAAGCCCAAATTATAATTTATTTTCTTTTAAAGCTAGTGTTTTCTGGGTCCTGCCTGAAAAAAATTTTGCCTTCCTCAAGTTTGTGAAAATATTATATATTTTCCTGGAATTGTTTTATTTCAGCTTAAGTTTTAGCTCTTACATTTAGATCTAGGAGCTTTTGCACATTAATTTGGGATGGAAAGTAGAAGTCAAAATTTGTTTTTATTTTTGTTTTCTAGATGGATATCCGATTGTTTCACAATGATTTTGGAAAAGATGTTTTTCCCTGTTGAATTTCCTTGTCACCTACCTAGAAACTAAATTGATCATGTATATGTGGATCTGTTTCTGGACCATCCATTTCTATATCTGTATACTTTTTTTTCCCAATACCACATATCTTGTTTACTGTACCTTTATAGGTCTTTACCTTTGGGTAAGTAAGTCCTCCAACTTTTTTCTTCTCTTTAAATATTGTCCTTGTGATTCTAGCATATACATTTTTTCACATTTTTTAAAAAAAACGACTGCTGAGATTCTGGTTGGGTATGGGCTGAATCCAAAGATCAATTTGGTGAGAAGTGATATTGACTCTTAATATATAAGCGTGATATATCTTTATTTAGATCTTTTGATTCCTTCCTTAACAATGTTTTTTAGTATGCAGTACATAATTCTTGTGCATATTGTGTTAAATGTATCACTAAATATCTTGTGGTTTTGATACTATTGTCAGTGGTATTGCTCTGACATTTTTATTTTCCAGTTGATCATTGGCAGTGTATAAAAATACAACTACTTTTATTATATTGATCATGTATATACTTATGTGTTCTCCAATCTTGCAAAATTTAATTATTAATCTTTAGGACTTTCTGCATCCGTTAATTAAGCTTTCTGTGAATACAGGCAGTTTTAATTCTTCCTCTCCAAACTTTAGGCCCTTTCTTTCTTTCCTTCCTTTTTTTCCTCTCTTTTTGTTTTGTTTTCAGGTCTTATGGCAATGGTTGTGACCAATGTAGTAAAATGCTGATTAGAAGTACTGAGAGCAAACATATTTTTCTTATTCCCAATCTTAGAGAGAAAACATTAATCTTTCACCATTAAGTTGATGTTATCTGGAGGTCTTTTGTAGATGCCTTTGATCAAGTTAAAGAAGTTCCAGTCTATTCATAGTTTGCTAAGACATTTTATCATGGATAAGTGTTAAATTTTGTCACATTTTCTTCTGCATCTATTGACATAATCATATGATTTATCACTTTTATTCTGTTAACATGTTGGATTACATGGATTGTTTTGTAAATGTTAAGCCAGCCTTGCATTCTTGAAGAGAAGCTTCACTTGTTTGGGATATTCATCATGTTAATGATTAAAATTTTGTTACATCTTTTTATATTTATGTTCACAATACATAATGTGCTATAGTTTCTCACAATATCCTTGTCTACTTTTTTACAACTAGGGTTTTTTTTTTTTCTCACAAATTGAGTCAAGAAATATTTCCCTTCTCCTCTATTTTCTGTAACAGATCGTGAAGAATTGGATTTTTTTTAAATAATAACATTTCTAATGATGCCATCTGAACTTAGAGTGTTCTCTGTGGGAAGTTTATTGATTTATTAATATATATTAACATATTAAAGATTATATACACATGTTGTCTTTAATAGATATCAGATTGGTTAGAAATTCAGTTTATTCAGTGTCCAATTTGCTTATTTGTTTTTTTCTAAGGAATTAGTCCATATTATCTAGGTTATTGAATTTGTTAACGTAAAGTTGCTCTCAATATTTGTTTATTAGCTTTAATATCAAAAAGATCCTATAGCAATGACTCTTCCCTTTTTTTACTCCTGATGTTGACGGTGGTGCTCCCTCCTTTGTCGTCAGTTTAGGCAGAGGTTTATCAATTACATGAATCTTTCAAAAGAACCAACTTTCTGTTTCACAGATTTACTCAATTGTTTGTCTATATTCTTATACACTGGATTTCACAGATTTTCATTCTTTCCTTCCTTCCACTTACCTTGGATCTTATTTGCTTCTCCTTTTCTAGATGTTTAAGTTATCTTAAATCAACAGTTCTCAAAGTTTTTGGTCTTAAGACCCCTTTAACTCTTAAAAAGTATTGGGGACCCTAAAGAGCTTTCATTTTGTAATATATACTATGAATATTTATTGCATCCAAAACTGAGAATGTTTTTAAACATAATAGACAATCACACATTTTATTAGCCATCAGAGAGATAATGTGATCAAACATTATGTAGCCTCTGGAAAACTCCACTGTACACTTATCAGGAAATAAAAGTGAAATAGCAAATAAAATCTTTTTTTTTTAAATTTAAAGGTGTTTTAACCTCATAGACTGTCTCTGAAGGGATCTCAAGAGACTTCAGGTTTCTCCAGAGCATACTTTGAGAAATGCCATCTTAAGTCATTGATTTTTACATGTTTCTATTTTCTACTGAAAGCATTTAAAGTTATAAAACCCTAAAAACATTCGCTGCATCATACGAACTTTGATATGTTGTATTTTTACTATTATTCAGTTCAAAACTTTTCTAAATTCCTTCTTTGACTTATGAAGTATTTGGAAATGTGTTGTTTCATTTTCAGATATTTGATAATTTCCCAATTTTTTTGTTATTTATATCTCATTTAATTCTGTTTTGCTCAAAAACAGACTCTGTATCATTTTAATTCTTTTCAATCTATTAAGACTTGCTGTAGGCCCACACATATGGTATATGTTGGGGAATGCTCCATGCATACTTGAATGTGTATTCTGCAGTTTGGCATAGTGTTAAATAGGTTGACAATTTCCTTTAAAACATATATATTCTTTCTGATTTTTTTGTGTATTTTTTCTATTATATTTTGTTTGGGAAGATGTATAACCATACGGAGAGAGACATTAGGATATCTCCCACTCTAATTGTGGGCTTATCTGTTTGTCTCTTCAGTTCTGTCAGTGTTTGCTTCATATATCAGAAGGGCTCTTATGAGGGTGCAACCCATTTAGCATTGTTAAGTCTTGATGAATAAACTTTTTTTACTTAAGAAATAACTTTTTCATCGTGGTATTATTTCTTGTAGATTACTTTGGGATTAACATTACCACTCCAGCTTTCTTCTGATTCTTATTTTCATGATATGTCATTTTCCACACTTGGTTTTTGGACTAGCTCTTTACAATTAAAGAGCATGTATAGTAAAAAGAACATAATTGGGCTTTGATTTTTATTCAGCTTAATAATCTCTGCCTTTTCTGTGCAATGTTTAATCCCTTTATATTTAATATGCTTAGGAGTATATTAAATATATTTTCAGTTCAGTTTAAGTGTACCATAATGCTGTGTATTTTCTCTCTTTGCCATATCTTCTTCATTCTTTTTTCTTCCTTTCTTTCCTTCTTTTGGATAAATGGAACATTCTTATTATTATCTATTCCTCTAAGTTTAAATTTTTTCAGTTGTTCTAGGATTTGCAATAACCCTCTTTAACTTACCACCTTCAACCATGTGTATTATATAACTTCATGGATAATGCAAGAAACTTAGAACAGTATACTACCATTTATTTCCTACATTATTTATGTGATTATTATTATTTAGAAATTTTTACTTTTACATATGTTAAAGTAGCAATACATTGCTATCATTTTGCTTCAAGTAGTAAATTATTATCTTTTTGTTTGTTTGTTTGTTTGTTTGTTTTGAGTCTCGCTCTGTCACCCAGGTTGGACCGTAATGGCACGATCTCAGCTCACTGCAACCTCCACCTCCTGGGTTCAAGTGATTCTCCTGCCTCAGCCTCCTGAGTTGCTGGGATTACAGGCACGTGCCACCATGCCCAGCTAATTTTTGTATTTTTAGTAGAGATGGGGTTTCACCATGTTGGTCAGGCTGGTCTCAAACTCCTGACCCCATGATCTGCCCGACTCAGCCTCCCATCAATTATCTTTTAAAGAAATTAAGGCATTAAATATGAATCTTTTACATTTGCCATTTCCAGGGTTCTTCATTACTTAGTATAAAGTTCCCATCTGGCACTATTTTTCTTCTACCAAAATAGATTTCTAGAACATCTTTTATTATATAAGCCTAGTAATGAAATATTCTCTTAGTGTTTTATTTATTTTGGGGGAGGCAGAATATGTATTTATATAACATTCACTTTCAAGGGATATTTTTGCTGGATATAACATTCTATGTTAATCTTTTTTATTTTTTTCTATCACTTTAAAGGTGTTATTTCATTGTTTCTGACCAGCATAGTTTCTGACGAGAAGGCATCAGTCATTTTTACCACTATTCTTCTGTGTAAACATATATTTTCTTCTTCTGGCTTCTAATAAGATTTTTCTTGTTGCTTCAAGTATTTTTTTCTGTCCCAATATCTCTTTCCTCTCTTGTGACTTGCTTTACACATATATGAAATCTTTTGATATTTTCATAGATATTCTTGAGGCTCTGTTTCTTTATCTTTTCAGTCTTTGTATGTGTGTGCTGCAGTTTGTATCACTTCTATTGAATTATTTTCTAGTTAACTTTTTCTTCTGTAATGTCTAACCTGATGGTAAGGGTAGCCAGTACATTTTTCATTAAACATGCACTTTTTTAGTTATTTAATTTCTATTTGGTTATTTTATAATTTTTCTTTTTTGATATTATCCATTTGTTTCTTCCATGTTCATGTTTTATTTAAATCCTTGAACACAATTATGATATATATATATTTCAAATCTTCTTGCCAATTTCTTCATTTTGGGGTTTATTTGTTTTGAGTGCTTTTTCTCCTGGTTATGGATCACAGTAAATGCTTTTTGTATGTCTGGTAAAGTTATAAATTTAGGTCACACATTGTGGATGCCACATAACTGAGCAACTTGATTTTGTTGTTTGCCTCTAAAGGGTTGAATTTTCTTCTGGCAATCAGTTAATTTACTTGGAGATCGTGTTGATTTTTTTAGACTTGCTTTTCAGCTTTACTATGCTGTTTCTGGAGTGGCCTTTATTATAGGAATACACTAATCCTACTCCCAAAGTTTGGCTTTATGTGGTGACTACTGAATGCCCAAGATGTTCAGCGAGGTCTCTCCTCAGGCTGGTCAGAACTCAAATATCCCCCAGTGCTATGTGAGCTCTGGCATCTCCATTGAGCTCACTGTTCCCCTGCAGTTTTTCTTTCCCCAGTAGCTGTTCTTTATCCTATTTTCTCTCTGGAACCTCTCCCTGTGCATATGCAGCTTTCTATTTAGCCAAAGACTTGAGGACTTTTCTATGGACATTCCTGGAGCTGCTTTCCTCCACAATGTTTCCTTTCATGTTATTACCTAGCCTAGAAAATCTCAGCTGTTTTAGTAATCCCAACTCCAGTCTCCTTCCTCAGTTCAGCAAGACTGCTGTGGTCGGCTTGGGCTCCATCTCCTTGTTCTTCAGCCCAGGAAGTCTCCAGGAACAAAGCCAAGGTAGTTATTGGGTTGATCTCATTTGATTCCCTTTCTAAATTATCTCAGTTTATCTGTTCTCCAATATGTAAAAATAGTTTTTTCCATATATTGTGTACTCATTTATGGAAGAAAAGCTGTCCTTGTTAGACCTGGTTTTCTGTTCATCTAATGGCCTCTTTCGCTGTTCAGCATCTGCGTATCCTGCTTTTGTTCTTCATGTCCCAGCAACCCATATCCTTTCAGGCCACTGGTGCTCAGGATCCACTGTGTTTATACAGGTCAGAATATATATATATACATATTTATGTTATATATATTCTAATATACACACATATATGTGTACATATATATACACACATATATGTGTACATATATATACACACTATATATGTATACTTGTATATCTCATATATGTGTGTATTTATATATGCACACATATGTATACATATATATGTGTGTATATATATTCATACTTATATATATAAAGTATATTTACTTGTGACCCAAGACAAAAATAGCAAATTCAACCTTCATTTCAGGGGTTGGAGGTTAAAATGATAGATTTCTATGGTAGAAATATTGCACTGATATTTAGTGGGCATTGTGGAATGGTACTGTTTCTAAGCATTTGCTCATATGTACTCCTGAGCTTTCAATTAATGTGACCTCATCACCTCCAGATGTCCTCCTGCATCCATAAAACTACTCAGGAAAAATAGCCAGCCTAAAATTTCTCTTCTCGCAGGCCCTTTCTTCAAAAGCAAGATTCTTGAGACATTTTTCTACACATTCTGGGTCTAAGAGAAATTTGGTCCTAGGAAGTTGGCTTGAAGCATGAAGCATGGCTCTTTTAACAGAAATTTCAGTTGGCTGATGCCCCTCTTACAGTAAAAATCAAAGACATACGCATTTGGGTAGTTTTCTGGGGTCTTCTGGTGCCGGTGTGGTGTCATAGATGACCAAGACTGACACTTCTTTCCTGTGGTGGTGGTGGAGGATGTGCCTCGGTAGCTCTGTCCATCACCATGGTAGCAGTCCTGGACCACAGGGGTTAGCTCAGGTGGTGCTGAAATTAAAATAAAAGAAATCAAGCTTAACAATTACTGAAAAAAAAGAAGCATGAAGCAATTTATGACAAAAACAGTACGGTAGCCTCTGAGAATTATGACTGTTCTCTTTTCTGTATTAGCAGACAGATTAACATAAAAATAGATTTATAGCATTTTAGAACATTAATAAGTTCCTAGTAATATTTCATTTAAAACCTGGGTGTGAAAGAACAGATAGAGTACTTATAATTGGAAATTGCACTTACATGCAAGCTCTTTTTTATGGGTCCCTACTGAGTGTTCATGAGAACACGAGGGCAGATGAGAGGAGGATGCATTCGGCAGTGCAGGCTGTGGGTGGTGAGTGGCTGTCAGTGGGGGGCAGACATGAAAGCTTTGCACATTTCTCTAGCTCCTTCCTCAAACAAAGCCAAAGACCAAAGCTTCTGGGTGATAGGGCAGGAGATGGTCCTGCATCTAGGACTGCAGGCAAAGATCCACAGCTTCTCAGAGAGTGGTGGAGGCAAAAATCTTATTCCCTTGGAGAAGTTACAGGGAATCCTCTTGTGCCCAACATCCTGCATTGCAATGAAGCAGAAGCCTACTACTCTTTCTTTCCAAACCCACCACAGGTACAAGTTCCATCAGAAGGAGGCACAAGAACACTGAAAAATCACTACTTTCAAAGCCGAGCTGTGCTCAACTGGCCTAAGAGGGAGGTAGACCAGGGAGATAAGTATTCTCCTACGTCCACCAAAAAGTGAGCATTCAGTAACAAGAAACAGCCGAGTGTCAATGGGGTTAGATTATGTGTATGAAGATATCTCCTCTGTAGTGCAGGCATGCAGTGACTGCTGAAATCTGGGAATGGATAGGAACACGGAGAAAACTCTTTAGCACCCCAGGCCCCACTCTAAGTAAAAGATAGCAGCAGCACATCACTGGAGGAATTTATATCTGTGGTGCACTTAAGGTAAAACTAGCAATCACAAATCCCAATTCAGTTAAACTAGTGACTACATTGACTCAATTATCCACGATATATATTTGCAAGACAAGGGTGTCCATTTCAAAGTATAAATAATATTTACTGTAACCTCTACTGTTCTTCTATTTATAATGTCTAGTGTTTGATTAAAGAATTATAAGACACACCAAAAAACCCAAGGGGGAACAAAAAGCCACTGTTGAATAATAAAGCAATCCAGAGAGCCAGACTTAGAGAAGACGCCATCTGGAAACTATCAGATTGGGATTGTGTGATACCTACATTAGTATGTTAAAGGATCTTGTTGTAACGGTGGACAGTATGCATAGATAGGTAGAGAATTTCAGCAAAGATGGAAACTATAGAAAAGAGTAACATGAAAATGCTAGAAAAAAAGTCATAATATCAGAGATGAAGAATTCTCTCAATGGGCTGAGGAGATGACTAGAAACAACTGAAAAAATAATCCATAAACTTGGAAATAGGTTACCAGAACTTATCCAAACCAACACAAAGAATGAAAAAGAGTTACTGAAAAAAAAAGAGAACAAGCTTACAAGATTTATGAAACAACATGAATGTTGTGGGTACTTAGAATCCCAAACACGTGGTACTTAGAGTCCCAAAAGGAAAATACAGAGAGAGAAAAGTGCAAAAAGAAACGTTTGAACAGATAATGGCTATGAATTTTACAAGGACAATGAAAATCAACAATCTAGGCTGGGCACGGTTGCTCACACCTGTACTGTCAGCACTTTGGAAGGCCAAGGTGATGGACCGTCTGAGGTCAGAAGTTTGAGACCAGTCTGGCCAACATGGCGAAACTCTGTCTCTACCAAAAATACAAAAATTAGCTGGGCCTGGTGGCACATGCTTGTAGTCCCAGCTCCTCAGGAGGCTGAAGCAGGAGAATCACTTGAACCTGGGAGGTGGAGTTTGCAGTGAGCCGAGATTGCGCCACTGCACTCCAGCCTGGGTGACAGAGTGAGGCTCCATCTCAAAAAAAAAAAAAAAAAAAAAAAAAAAGAAAAGAAAAGAAAAAAGAGAAAAGAAAAAAATCAACAATCTACAAATCTAGGAACTCAGAATACCTCAAGCAGATTAAACACAAAGAAATTAATAATAAACACATCATAGTCGAACTGTTGAAAAACAAAGATGAGAAAATCTTAAAGGTAGTCAGAGAAAAATGACCTATTGAAAACATAGGAACAAAGATCAGATTACTAGTCAAACTATTTAAAACAGAAGATAATGGAACATCATCATTAAAGTGTTGCAAGTGATGAAACTCTCAACCCAGTATCTACATTCAGCAAAATTACTTTTAAAAACTGAAGGCAAAATACTTTTTCAGACACTCAAAATCTGAAAGACTTCAGCAGTAGCAGACCTGTGCTACAAAAAATGCTAAAAGTTGTTTTTCACAGAAAGAAACTGACACCAGATGGAAATTGAGATCTACCCCAGTAGATGAGAAGCACCAGAAATGGTAAAATAAATAAATAAAGAAAATATTTAAAATAGTTTTATTCTTGATCACTTTAAAACACAACTATTAGGGCAAAAATAGTGTCAATGTATTGTGAGATCTGTGACATAGTAGAAGTAAGCTTCTATTACAAAGAGTAATAGTATAGCATTTTGGGAGGGAGGAAGTAGAACTGCAATGATGTAAGGATTCATATGTCAAGTAGAATGATATCATTTGAAGGTGGAATGTGAAAAGTCAAAAATGTATATTATAAACATTGTGGAAAATACTAAAACCATTAAAAATTAATTTACTAAGTGAGTAGTGGAGATAAACTCAATCTAAATGAAGGCAGAAAAAGATGAAAAAAGGAACAAAGTTTAAATGGGACAAAGAGAAATAACTAACTTGATGGTAGATGTAAATTCAACTCTATTAACAATTGCATGAATGCAAATGGTTTGAACATCTCAATTTAAAAGCTCAGATAAATTTAAAAGATATATCATACAAATTTAAAAGATATATCACACAAATACTAGTGAAAATAGAGCTGTGAGACTGTATTTATATCACCATAAAGAGAGTTCAGAACTTCAGAAGAAGAAATATTCCCAGAGATAAGAAGAAACATTACATAAAGATAAAGGGGTCCTTTCATCTAGAAGACATAACCATCCTAAATACATATGTGCCTAACAAAAGAGCTTCAAAATATACAAAAGAGTTACGATCTAAAAGAGAAATAGACTAATTTACAGTTAAAGTTGGACACATCACCATTCATCCACAGTAGTCAATGAAGGAGGAGACAGACAATCAGTAAGGATACAGAAGAACACCAGCAACCAACTTCACCTAAATGACCTTGAGGGAACACCCCACCCAACAACCGCAGAAGACACATTCTTTTCAAGAGCACATGAAACATTCACCAAGATGGCTATATTCTGAACCATAAAACAAACCTCAACAAATCTAAAAAAACTGAAATCATAAGGGCAGGCTTTCTGACCACAATAGCATTAAACTTACAAAGCTACTGTATATTGTGATGATGCCACTGGTATACAAAAATAAGGAGAAAACTTGGGCCCTCAGTAAGCTCCCATACCCTTGCTTACCTGTGGGAGCCAATTGTTCCGTGGATACTGGGGAGGAGTCACAGGACGGTATCTTACAGTACTCCCACCGCACTTGGCTGTTGGTTGTATGGCACCATGGGGCCCTTTTTCCGTCAGGATTGCGGCAGTAGTTTTCATCCAAATTTCTGAAAAAGAAGTGATTGTGAGTTTAGCTTTCCAAAAAGAAAAAAGTCTAGGGAACCACGCTTTGAGAACAACCGTTACGGGAAAAAACGTGCTAAAGTTCATTTCCTTTACTTATGACTAGATCAGTTTTTCTTCCAGAATACTTTATCCTGCGTTCCTACAGTAACTAAAACTAAGGCAAAGTCAATGGGATTTCACATTCCATAGCAGCAGAATGAGACCGGAGGGGACTTACTTGCAGGGGAAGTTTTCTGGTGTCCTGTTATGTGTGTGAGGGGTCTGTGCACTCCAGTGCTGACAGGTGTGCCCGGACACGGTAACAGCCACATTCCCGCGATAGTTTTCACCTGTTCCCTTCAGACACTGGTAGGTGGGACCAGAAGATGGTGGAGGTGTTGCTTGAATGGGCAAAATAAGTTACAATGAATATATATATTTTTTGAGACGGAGTCTCGCTCTGTCGCCCAGGCTGGAGTCAGTGGCACGATCTCAGCTCACTGCAACCTCTGCCTCCTGGGTTCAAGTCATTCTCCTGCCTCAGCCTCCCGAGTAGCTCAGACTACAGGTGCGTGTCACCACAACTGGCTAATTTTTTTGTATTTTTAGTAGAGGTGGGGTTTCATCATATTGGCCAGGTTGGTCTTGAACTCCTGACCTCGTGATCCGCCCACCTCGGCCTCCGGAAGTGCTGGGATTACAGGCGTGAGCCACCGTGCCCAGCCCTACAATGAATAATTTTAAAATAGAGAATGCACAGATGGATGTTAAGGAGGATGGCTGCAGGGTGTTCTGGCCTGTCTTGGCTTTTGCTCAGCCTCTCTTGGAATTTGGCACTTGAGAATTGTTTCATGTTTTCAGATGAAATCAATTTAGTAGCATCTATGCCTGTGAGACCCTTTCACAAGGAACTCCTTCAGAGAAAGACCCTTGGGTAGGTGCTTCTTTCTATGTTCTCTTTGCTCAGTTCTTCCTACCTGGTAAGTATCAACACGTGTCACCTCACACCCCGAATTCTCACATACACCAAAGGTCCACTCTCTTTCCTGAAGAATAAATTATTCACTGAGTAGACATGACTGAATGGCACCCAACATGCCATAAAAGCCAAACAACAGGGAAAGAGTCCATGGAAAGAAGGCAAAAAACACCTCCAAGGAAAAGTGTGTGCATCCAGAAATCAAGATATTCTTGAGGAAAAAAGATGACAAAAAGAGAAACTGAAAAAAAAAGAGAAATTAATATTCATAAAAAGGGAGAATGCCTGAGGAACTTCCGCTTTCAAAGGACACATGTCAGAGGAAAGGAGGGGAGGCCAACCCTCACTGAATCCTTTTTAACCTTTCATGCCTGTATTTCTCTTAGTGTGTAATCCTTTGCTTCAAATTCTCAGAGAGGAAAATATGATAAAATTGTTTACTCCACATCATTTCTACTAGGTCTGCCATTTCATCTTCTCCTCTTGAACTCTTCCCCACCCCCACCACTCACCCTCTGCTCCCCAAGGTGGAAAAACTGGACACCCACAGACCTGAACATTGTAAACAAAGACACTCTTTGTTTACAAAACAACTATTAGAACTCTGGTTGAAAATGAAATCCATGTGTCAGAGAGCATGGGTCTGATTTCCCTTTAGCACAGAGAGAATAGGATGAACAACACCTAAAGCCTACATTTCAGTGAACTCCTGAGGCAGAAGTTTCAGTTGCAAAGAAAGAAAAACATGATAAATGGACGCTCTGATCAATCACCCACAGTAACCAATAACCATAACTGTTTTAAACCAGCAATAAAATAAAGACCAATAACATCCCATAGGACTTGTAGGTCACTTTTCAGAGGCTGCACTCAGGCACTGACACATGTTTTCTTTTGATTTCAAGAACAGGGCAGGTCCAAATCCTGGAATCTGGGTGTGCATCATACTCACTGCAGCGGGGGATGTCACAAAGTTCCCAGCGCTTGTTGGGGTCGGTGGTGAAACACCAAGGCCGCAGCTCCCTATCGGGGTTACGACAGTAATTCTTCTTCAGGTTCTTGTTTGGAAATCTGAATGGACAAGAAAGATTTTAGTAGCACTGAACATTTACATTCATGGATAAGACTCTTTTTCAAGAGCAAACATTGAGCACCTGCTGTGTGCTAGGCACAGTCGGGCATGGAGGAGGTAATCAGATGAAGGCTGTGTTCAGAGATGGCAACAAGGAAACAAGGTTGGCCCTGTATTCCAAGGACTTTCTTTTTTTTGTTTGTTTTTAGAGACAGGGTCCCACTTATTGCCCAGGCTTGCCTTGAACTCCTTGAACTCACTCAAGCAATCCTCCCGCTTCAGCCCTTTAGGTAACTAGGACTACAGGCATGTGCCACCATGCCCGGCTGCCAAGCACTGTTTTTCTAACAGTTTACATGTGTAAAAATCACTCAACAGAATCAGTGACCTTATCATTTTGGCCATCTGGAAAATTGATGTAAGCAAATTCCAGTTATTCAACCACAAATGATAGCAGTCTTTAAAATGTAAAGTGCTCCCTGCCTAAAGATACTCATCTAGTACCTAACAGAGCCAAGAAATGTGCATCTTCATAGCTTAAAGGAATGGTCCTTCTGGTCTACCAGGCTCTGCTCCCACCAGCCTTGAAGCTTAGAAAAACCAAGAGGAGAAGCTGTGCTCTTGCAAGGGTCTCACCATGCAGTATGGGGCTGGATCCTTCCTCAGTGGGGCCCAGTGGCCAGGGCTGTTGGATGCACTCCATGCCTGGTGGCCCTCTGCGTTTATTCATTCCCTCTCTGATTGTAAATGCTTACCAGGATGGAAAGAGGAGCCAGCAGCGGCTTAAGCAATCCTCTTCTCCTTCTGGTTTCCTGGAAGTGCCTTTACCCAGTTTTGGACCCTTAGGTCTTTCCTGTATTTCTCCTTTGAAGGAAAATGGCAGCTGCTGTGTTTTAAGCTAGCTATTTGGAATGGGAGGTGTACAAATTCAATAGAGCTGCTTTCCACCGTGGAATCTGTGGCTCAGCCTCACTTCTGCATTCTTGAAAGCCCTGGTATGGCCCTGTAGTCATCATAGAATGAAGAGGAAGACCAGAAGCGACTGTGGAATGGGAGGTGTTTTCCAGCACAATTAATGTGAAATAGAATACTCACGAAACCTTATTCTAGGAACCATCATGACTTTCTAGAGCAAGAAGCTTATTCTTATTTTAAATTCGTGGTCCCCTTAGAGAATCTGATGGAAGTTACGAATCCTCATTCCAGAAAAACACATTGATGTAAATATACATAAAACATCAGGGATTCAAAAATCCATGACGTCTGCTCATAGGTCAAAGGTTAGGAGACTTGAATCTCATTGGTACAAAGGGAAAAGAAAGACAAGGAGTAAAGAGAAAAGGAAAATATTTGGAAAATACACCAGCAACATGTGTGTGTGCATTTCTGAAGACAGATGTTAATGTATTCATTACTGACATTAGTGTTTGAATGTGTGTGCACATCAGCTGAGGATCTGGTTATTATTCAAATCAGATTCAGAGGGTGTGACATTCTGGATTTCTAACAAACTCTCAGAAAACATCCCTGCTGCTGACCCGTGGACCATATTTTGAGCAGCAAGAATGCGTATTTCACTTGCAATATTGTGGGAGGAGGTTAGCTTTGAAATTAAAAACATCAGGCGTTCACTTCTTGAGGAATGCTAAAATATCTAAATGACAGCAAATGTCTGATAGAGCTGCAGAGCCTTAATTAAACATGGAATGTTTTTCCCAGTGAGACTTACTTGGAAGGAATGTATCCATGAGCGTGTGGGCTCTGAGAGTCCCAGGCCTGGCATTCCAGTCCAGACATGGTCTTGGAAATTTTGCCGTCATAGTTTTCTCCACTGCAATGCATACATTCCTCTGGACAGAGTGGGAAGGAAGGACAGAGAGGAAGAAGAAAACTGAAATGGATGAAGCAAAATAGAGAGTAAAAACCAGAATCCTACTCACTTAAGTGCGACTTGCCTCTCATTCCGATGTAATTCACAACAGGCACTTGGCAATAAAATTGGCAATAAGGACTCAGGATTTTCTAGCATAATCCAAATGTCATTTTCCTTTTAAACCGTAACATTCACATATTTTAGTCAATACTCCCTCAACTATTGTAGTCATGACCAAGTTCAGAATTTCCATGATGCCATGTCCTTAGACCGGGATGCACAGGCCAGTGGGGAGCCAAGGGTGCATATATTCCCAGGAGTCTACGTTCTCCATTAGGAGTTTTCAATATTTGGCATCTTCATTTCAATAATGATCTTTAAAACTTTGTATGAAATTATTCTGATCATTCCGCTGACTGCTGAATGACCTGGCACCGTCTCAGGGTTTTAGTCTGGAGTTTTTGTTTATGCTCATGGCCTCAGGGAGAACAATATTCACCTGAAGTGACAGCGCTTCTCTTTTTATGTTGTTGAGAAGCATGATTGGCTCTTTTTTGCAAAATTATTCACAAACTTAAACTTTGATTCAGAATTATTGAAGTAACATGGTGAGGCAGAGTAATATGTGACTTAAATTTTATGGAGTACTAAGGAAAACGGGCAGACTTAATATAACAGTGATGCATTGGTGGTGCTTAAGGGCAAATACCTATAACATGGTGTACAAATAAAGGATCCCCGTGATTCGAACAGGTGGAAGTGATGGGAGAACTGAGTTGTCACACAGTACCATATCCACACTGTCACACAAATCTCACCTTTATTTATTCCCTTTTGCACTAATGTAGCCAGAAATGTGAAACGATGACAGTTTTTTCAGTAGGATTTTTTTAAAATTTTTTAGCATTGACCTTTGAGGTGCACTATTAAATTGCTCAGTCCATTCAAATAATGGATTGCTGATTTAAAAACTGGTTCCTTGCTTAGCTTCAGCAAAACAGCAAAGTCTACCACATTAAATATATATTGTTTATTTGATTTTTATTGATTTTGTTGTTTTATTTTAACTATTTAATTGCAAACCTGTCTTGGGGTTAACACTGTGTAAGAGTTGTAAGCATAAGAAGTTTGTACTTAGAGTTTAGATGTAGTTTTATATTTGTACATGTTGATGTAACATTTTAATAAAAATAATTCAGGTCTGCTGGGCATGGTGGCTCATGCCTGTAATCCCAGCACTTTGAGAGGCTGAGGCAGGCGGATCACCTGAGGTCGAGAGTTCAAGACCAGCCTGACCTACGTGGAGAAACCCTGTCTCTACTAAAAATATAAAATTAGCCAGGCATGGTGGCACATGCCTGTAATCCCAGCTACTTGGGAGGCTGAGGTAGCAGAATCTCTTGAACCCGGAGGCGGAGGTTGTGGTGAGCCGAGATTGCACGGTTGCACTCTAGCCTGGGCAACGAGAGCAAAACTCTGTCTCAGAAAAAAAAAAAATTCAGGTTAATTCTGGGGTTTTGCTTCTTTCCGAGAGGTGAATACGTTACTCAATTATTAATAACATCCCTGTGGGAAGGGGCTTTACAACAAATTATTTTACAGGTGAAGGGCAGAAATGAAAACATTTTCTAGAACCACTCCTGACCTTCACACTCAAGAATGTCGCAGTAGTCATATCTCTTTTCTGGATCAGTAGTATAGCACCAGGGCCCCTGCGGATCGTTGTCTGGATTCCTGCAGTAGTTCTCCTCCAGTCCCTCTGAGGGGTGTGTAGCAGGTGAGAATCTGGGGAGGATGGAAAAGAAGCACTTAGACTATATTCTAAAAATCAGCTTGCTATTAGCAAGGCAGAAGGAGATGCTCTCGATTCCCATCTGAGATTGTCATCCAAATGCATTTCAGCTGGGTGCTGCAGCATTTGTGTGGTCAGATTTTCAATTTCTCTATTGATAGGCTGCTTCTGGCACAGTAGCTAATATTACCATTGCTACTGTGACAGCCAAGTCTTAGAGAGCCAAAATATTTTTATTGCACAGTCAGGAGAAATATAAAGGCCTCAAAAGGCTGCCATGGTCTTAATTCATTCCAAACACCTGCTTTTGTCAGTTACCGTTTTCTCTGTAAAAATTTTTGTAGTTAATACCATTTTGTCCATGTGAACTATCTGCCAGGAATTCCACTAACATCTTTCCACACATTCTCTCTTTTAGTCCTAATAAAACCATTTGAGGAAGGTGTTATTATCCCTATTTTACAGATGAGAAAACTGAGTGGCAACGTAAAACAAAACAAAACAAAACTTGCCTAAGTGTAAATAGCTATGAAGAAGCAGATCAAGAATTCAAAGTTGATCTGTCTGATTCCAAAGTCCTGGTTTTCTCTGAAATGCAGCTTGAATTATTGGGGATGGAGGAGGGATTTAAGCTTATTTTCAGTTCTAGAGATGAGTTGCTGTATAGAGACAACCATTTAGATGAAAATCACAAGACTTACAGTCTAGAAAGGCAGGTTTTATTTCTGGTTCTTCTGTGAACCTATTTGGGATAACCCCCACCCCCCGAGACCTCAGTTCCCTCATAAAGATGAGCCTAGACTACCTCATAAAAATGGCCCAGAGTGTCTCCATGGCCCCCGATAGTCTCTGACTTTGCCATTTGGTTGAATCAGTTTTCATTAACTCACGGGGAATATTTGATCTGCTCATCTCATAGGGATATAGCAAAGGCAATTTGTTGAGTGTTGGGGGAATGGATAAAGGTGAGTAACAAGCACTAAGTTCCTATTTGATAAGCGTCATTACTGAGAACTTAATGCCACCTAACACCAAACTGGGAAAAGTACAAAAAAATGCACTAAAATAAATAATAGGCAAGTTGCAACATTTGAATTTCACGTATCTTCATTTTCATTTTTATATCTTATTTACTCTTTTGCTCCACAATTTGAGTCGAACATGTGATGAGAGTTCTAACCTGATATGCTTACTTCAGTCCCAAACATAGTCATCTTTGATCTTTTCTCAGATTTGGCCTAAAACTCATAGTTTCATTGATTTTTTTTAAACTAGGCATTCTTCTATGTTCTAGGTCTTCAAGAAACCTCCATATCCAAGAAAAAATAGAAAGCAACCATGTTCTACTATGGTGCCAAAAATAGTTGAACATCGACATCAAAAAGATTCTTTCTATCTGCTTATTCACATATTGTGGTTTGAATTAAAAGTGATGAAATTATCCTAAATACAGTTGGCCCTCTGTATCCATGGGTTCCAGATCCACAAATTCAACCAACTGTGGATGGAAAAGACTTGAAAAAGATGACAGAAAATAACAATATGACAATAAAACATAATACAAATAAAAACAATACAGTATAACAACGATTAAATAGCATTTACATTATATTAGGGATTATACAAGAGAAGGTATGTAGGTTATATGCAAATACTGCACCATTTTATATAAGGGACTTGAGAAGCATGGATTTTGGTAGCCACAGGGGTCCTGGAACCAATCCCTCACAGACACAGAGGGACAACTTTACAGTAGATGAACACAAAGATGAAAGGGAATGTCTTACCTAGGTCTGTGGGGAGAAGTGGAACTCCATTTTTGACAGGTGATGCCATTTTTTGTTTTGGACATCGTCCCTCTGTAGTTCTTTCCATTCCCAGTCTTGCACTCTGAGAGATACACTGAAGGGAAGTCCACACAGTGGTCAAAGTCTTTCACAAGACACCACATGAAGGTCTGCACAGCATAGTCACGTTGAGAAAAAGATCTCATGCACCAGACCCCCTGTTTCTGCTTTCTAAAAGATCATCTTTTGCATCTGCAAAAAGGCTGCAGTAAACTGAGCCATTCTTTGATTCATGTATTCAAATGCTACTTATGAGCTCTCTGTGTATCGAGCCCCACCAGGATGCTGGGGACACACGGGGCACAGTGCAGCCAGAGGCTTGGCCGTCATGGAGCTTACATTCTAGTGGAATCAGGCAGGGGGGTTACAGGAAATATTCAAGGAAACAATATAAAATGAGATCACTTAATGATGATACATATTACATACATGATGAGACAGAGTGAGAGAATGGGGAAAGGGCTTTTTAGATGGGGGAATGGCAGGCTTTTCAGAGGCTGAAAGAGATCCAACCCACTTCTATTTCTTCAGGCTCCCAGTGATATGAAAAAGTGCCAAACAGGGCTATAAAATTGTGGTCTACTGTAAATGGTTTGCAGTAAAAGTTCTCAACCAGCTTCCACTCAACCAACTCACCAGTTAGACAACGGGCCCTCTCCTGTGTTTAAAACAGTCCGGTGCCCACCTGGGTCCACATGCAGCTGGCAGGTGTTTGCTAGTGTGCCCACCCATGTCTGTTCCCCCCACGTGAGTTATGTGCTTACAACGAGTCATTTCTTTGCATTTTCCAACTTTCTTACATTTATATTTAATTAAAGATGATCTAAACTGAGAAATGAATGTGAAAAGAAACAAAGCTCTTTTTTGTTTGGTTTTTAACTAAATTAAATGTTTTTAACAAGTTGAAACATGAATCATTTAAAAAATTGCTATCAAATCCACAGAGGGCAATCCACTCATATAGTTGACTATAAAGCTTGAGGAGGAATTCATAAAAATCTAAAGGTTTTACACATTCAGATTGATTAATAAATGTCGAGATATGGTCCACTTCAAAAATAAGGAAAGTAATTATTGTAGATGTTGCACTGGAGCATAGTTTATGCAGGAAATACACCAGAGACCTTCTACTGGTGACCCCATATTCGAAGAAGAAAAGCCTCTGCTCTACGTCAAAAGGTGTCAAGTACACTTGTGTTTTCAATGAAAATATAAAATGTTTAAGGTATATTTACACCATCATTTAAGGTTACCCACTTTAGCCATTTTTTAATTAATTGATCAATCACATGGGGAAAGTGCTCCTAACATACCTACAGCAAACTAATGCTTTTAACCCAATACTGCGTATTATGATTGCAAGTACATCTTCATTGGGACATAGTATTACAGTAGACATAAGACACTCATCAAAAGTGTAAACTCAAGGTACTTTGTGAAAGGGAGGTCTAGGGGTCAAGGAAGATTTGCAAAGGACATGATGATTGAGCTGACACCTAGGAGATAAGAAGGAGCTGGCACAGCAGGACAAAGGTGAAGAGGGTCCCAGGCAGGAGGGTGTGTGCTTGGGGTGGTGAAGGAACAGAAGTAAGGCCAGTGTAGAAAAGTTTAGCAAGCCAAGCAAACAGCAGCTGGGGGTTACTTAAATAATGCTGGGCCCTAGCACATTTGGGAAGTCTTTGGGTCTTATTTTAAGGGCACTAGGAAGGGCTTTAAACAGGGAAGTTACATTTCTTAGAGATCATGTGTACAGCTACAAGTAGCCCCAACCAGTGGTGATAGGGTCTTGGACTTGGTGAAGGCAGTGTGGCTGGTGGCAAGTGGCAGAAGTAAATGTGATCTAACACTGACTGTTCCTGGCAAAACCCTGGCAGGTAAGTTAGTAGCAGGTCAATATCCCACAGCAAAGAAACAAGGACCAAAAAATGACTGACTTTTGACTTTTCACTTCTTTTTTTTTTGTATGTACCCATCAGAGTTTATATAACCTTTTGCTCCCTTCTGTCACTTTGAAAACAAGCAAACTAAGCCTTCAAACTTCAGACTTCAAACTCAACCTACAGTCATTCCCATGTTCCTTCTGGTTAACAATTTACAAATGACATATTTAAATGTTAGCATTTTGTAGAGAGAATCAGGAGAATCAGGGTTTTTTTTTTTTAAAATCTGGTACAATTAGGTGATCCTATTTAGTTTACCGTTTGCTTGCTACTTGTAAGAACTAATAACTTCACCAGATAAAGTTTAGATTTAATCTGCACTTTAATCTCAAGAATTCGAGATAAATAGTGGTAAGGAAGGAAGTACAATGCGTACAGCTAATGAAACCCAGGAAGATGAGTCAATGCATAGAAATAATTCCAACCCAAATAAATACTATTTAAAATGCTACTTAGAGTTTTGCCGTAATACTAGACACAATATGGCAAATCATCCTCAAGAATACAAGAACTAAGGTGTTTCCAGTCCTCTTTAACACCTGGGATGCAGAATGTTTGGAGAGCTAAATTGTTACTATTAACAGTCTTAATACCTGGCTACCAACACAGTAGAGGAAACAGTTTTTAAAGTGTCATGCATCCCTTCAAATATTTATACTTGATGGGATATGCTTAATGGGAGCATACTTGATGGGATATACTTGATGGGAAATGCTTAATGAAACATTTGCACATCTAAAAAGGCATGCAATTTCTATTGAAATCCTGTCTGCCTCTTATTCTAAGCAGTGGGACTATTGACCCACATTTTAAAATAAACTATAGAAAAGGAACTGTAACTTTTACACATTTTTAAAAGACAACATTTCAGAAATCTGAGAAAAATATAGACCATGTCCCCCAAAATGTGAAAAATTTAAGAGTAAAAATAAGATTTGTGTCCCAATCTAAATGTTTCTGAGGATTAAAACACCTCAGTATTTCTGTTTTACAAGGCTTCATCCAGATGTTAGGGCCCAAGGACCATGGTCACCCTGCAGAATAAGAAGCCAAGACCAAAAGGAATGCTTAGACTTCCCATCTCCTTGTTAAATATAAAATAATATTTTAAAAATCTTATTTTCAGGGTCATAGAGGTAGAAGTGATTTTGTAAATCTAATCCTTTCATCTTTTGAACAAAAAAAATTAAATCTAAGAGGTGAAGTAATACACTCAAGCTGACATGGTTAGTTAGTAATCAAATCCTGTCCTAACTCAGAATTCAGTTTTATAACACGATAGTGCCTTCCTCCTCTGGTCTTATAAATTAAAGATAGAATAGAGAAAGAGGAAGAGTGGGAGGATGGGGAGGACAGTAGGAGGAGGAGGAAGAAAATGTACTCACCTTTCTTTTCAAATAAAACTACATCTCTCATCCTAATGATTATGGAGGACTTCCTGTTTTCAGCCATTATCACACATTGTTGCTCTTTACTGTGATATTGGAATGCCCTGCAGAACGAAGCAGGAAATCCAATAAGTATTTTTCTTTATTTAAAGAAAACAAATGTTTATTAATAAGTGAGACATGCTAAAGATCATTGAATATCTTGAGGGACCAGAGAGCTCAGAATTGCTGCCTCTTTCAGTTATTTGGGCATGGCATCGATGAAGTACTGAACAAAATACACCAACGTGGCAGCAAATCTTATCTGCCCTTACCTTCCCTCCCTCATAATTTTCCCTTTCTTCCTGTTTCAACTGCTTTACTTCTTCTTCACTCATCTTCTTAATTTTTGTTTTTGGGTTGGAAAGAAGCAACTCTGGTTGCTTTGAACCCATTCGCCAAGATAGTCCGTCTCCATGACCTCCCAACTCTGATCAGTTCCCCTGAACCTCTGCTCCACATTCCACCCCACCCTGGCCCCTGACCCCTCCCATCTCCATCCCGTGGTCCTGCTATGGGTGCTCAGTCTGGATTCCATAGCTACCTTCCCAAGCCCGTCACCTACACAAAGTCTCTGCTTTAGTCAACTTCATCTCTTAATGGTCCCCCTCAGAAGGTGCAGGGCCGCATCTTCCCCTGCCTTCCTGGTGCTTGTCAAGAGCTCTCTCAACTCCAAACCCAGCTCAGTTCCCACCTCCTCCCTGAGCCTTCTCTAGCTGCCTCAACCTTAGGCACTGTTCTTTCTTCTGGATCTGGGTAGAGCATGCATTGATTATGCCTGTACCTCACTTGGGCTGTCTTTTTTTTTTTTTTAACATTATATCCAGTTTCTTTGACTACACCTTAAATACTAAAGGGCAGGCACTGGATCTTGTAGCTATAAGTCATTGCTCAGATCTATCTAGGACACTTTCATTCACCTGATCCTCAACAAACATTTACTGATGATGATGTTGAAAACTGGAGCTCAGAACAATAACTGCTAATGTTTGTGTCCGGTGTAAAAACAAATAACTTCCTTTGAGGGTATTTTTCTAACAAAGACTCCAATAAACCTTAACAAGAAGCTGTTAGTATGGCTTCACATACTGTGAGCAAATATAGTTCCAAACTCTGGCTCCATAAATTTCTCTTTCCTCTTAAATCATTAATAAATTTGTGAGTAAATTACTTGCCATCTGAATTACAGATTCCTGCGTAGGTGCAACGACAATGGAAATACCTGCAGGTGAATTCTTCGTCCTCCTCACATTTTGCTGCACATTCTTCTATACTTCCTGCTCCCAGCTGCTTCTTAGTGACACTGAACAGTGAAGCCCCCTGGGTATTCACATAGTCATCCAGAGGCTCTCCTTGACCTAGAGGTGGGAGATCCAAGTGGAATAAATGGTCAGTAAATCAATGTCAATGTCTAATTGTCATGACTTCCTTTTAATCTATTTGGTTAGCATTAACCAAATAAAACTTTCTGTTTACTGGAAGTAGAATGGGTAGCTATGAATCAAAATGTTTAGTTAAGAACACACAGTCGGGCATTTGGACATAAATAAAGATGGCAACTAAAGACACTGGGGACTACCAGAGAAGGGAGAGAGGGAGCAAGGCAAGGGCTGAAAAACTACCTATTTAGTAGGTATTTAGCTCACTACCTGGGTGATGGGATCATTTGTACCCCAAAGCTCAGTGTCACGCAATTTAGTTATGTAACACACCTGCACATGTACCCCTGACTCTAAAAGTTGAAATTATAAAACAAAGAAAAACAGTTTCATTAGCAGATTGCAAGATAGTAAAAGATTAACTGGATTGACAAACAGGTTAGAACTATGGAACCACTACTATGTTACCATATTAGTGGATATAAATCCTTAAACAAGAACAAATTTTATGTTTGCTATTGATTGTGCCATGTCATGAGAGAAGAGTAAGGCACCATCAGTGGCAGTTGTGTTACCAAGATTGATGTTGATTTGTTCATCCCTGGGTAGAAATGGAACTTGGAGGCCATTGTTTGATTTCCTACAATATGCGCTTTGGTTCTGGCACTGTCACTTGAACCGGTGGGAAGCATCCTCTGAATGGTCCCTCCTTGAGAAACATAAATTTTGGTGCATAGATGATGGTGGAAATAAACAAGAACTGAACTAAATTATGTTGCCACCTTGGACAAAAATTGGGCAAAACACTGGAGGGTAAGAAGCTCCCCAACAAAGAAGGCCATTTTTGTACTGGGCTTATGACAGTCACACAACACTACTAATTGGGGAGAAGTCAGTTTTTCCAAGGTGTTGACAGGTATCTGGATTTCGGAGGAAATTGTAAAAAAGCAGGACCTGGGACAAATACTGGTCTTGGTTTTTCTTTGAGATCAAATCTGAGACAACGAATCTGTCCGAAAGCTGCTTTCTGCCTGGTCGTGGCAGAGGGTGGCCAAGGGGGCCTCAGCTGTGCTCCCACCACAAGGCTACAGGGTGTCCCCTTGTCCTGAGGCTCTTCCAGACATCTGGCTGAGCTTTGGTAGCTCTATTCCAAGCCTGGAGATGCCAGCTCCGTCCTTGGCACAGAATGCTAGTGATTTGCACAAGGGTGAGAGGCCAAAAGAGGCTAATAAAATGAAGACAGGCAAGCTCCATGGAATTAGACAACAGGACAACCTTGACCACTTTGAGGGGCGTGGTGGGGGCCGCAGGCAGAGGGGGTGGGTTACAGAGTGACTAGGAGAGCAGTGGAGGCTGCAGCAGGAGACAAGCCTGGCTCTGAAGACAGCGAGCCCTCCAGGGAACATGCGGTCAGGGGAGGTTCTGAAAGATGACACACTGCAGAGCGCATTGGTTTGTATGCTGATGACAAGTATCCAGTAGGAAAGCAAATGAACAGATTTTCATTCTCAGAAAGGCCTGTCCTGACCTCCTGAGGGTACACAGAGCACAAGGGGCAGGACAGGGAGGTGGATGCATGCTCATCGATTCATGCAAAGTCCTCGGCCAAAGTCCCCCTGCTCCCCACCTCTGGGACTTTGTCCTTCCTCAATTTAAGACATTCCGGGCTGGAAAAATGGATTATTGAGCAGGAGTTGGCTGATGCATTCTAAAGCTAATCCACTAAAAAGCACTTGAGAGATATATCAAAAGATCACAAAGAAATAGATGCTTTAGGCCCATATCCATGTCTTTACCCCGCACTTTCTGCCAACTTGAACTCTCATTTTCAAGAAGAGTTGTGTTTTGGTTAATTCTATATAGCTCACAGTGTGACTTCAAAACACACAATAAATCCACAAAGTGTGTCCTACAGTGAGTTCAGTTAAACTTTCTGAAGAGTTTTTTTGAAGTATAGCAGAGCAGGCTACAACTGATATTCAAAAAAAGAAAACTTCCATTTATTTCCCCCTTCAATTAAGTTCTCTGTGTTATGTTACTATGCTTCATAGCGCATCGCTGCTGAGATCCCCTCCCCAGCTCATGTCCCTAGGAAATATCCCAAAACAGAATCAAACTTTTCTCTTTTCAGTTTGAAATAATTTTCCCCCATTTTTTCTTCTCTTATTCACCTCTAGGACTCATATGGCAATAGGATTTGATAGGGCTTATTTGCTGGCAAGGAAACATCAAACAAATCTTTTAGTGGAAAAATACATTTATATTATAGGCAAAATGCAGATGTATATTGCTACTGATGCAAATGTATTTTATTAATGGTGTGAGAATTTCTTCCTCACTGTGGTGTGTGAATGTGTATGCATATTTGCATGTGTAAAAGACTTAATTTGTGAAATGGAAGATGTTTCTCCACTTCCCACTAAGCATGGCTGTAAAAGAAACTTTTCCCTCTCCCCGGGCATTGCAGCACACTGGAAAGATGATACATCCACAGAAAACCTGGCTTTCCAAAAGAGCTTATGAGAGAATGTGCCCACCAGGTGGGTTAAAACATATGTTAATCCTGTGGCAGAGAAGTTTGATCTAGCCTTTGGGTGTAGCCCACTGAATAAGTTCATAGTGATCTATGTCCTAGTTTCCATGCATTGAAATATAATATTCATACCCCCCAACATACACCAATTTCTTACAAAAATTTCTTTAATTTTCTCCTGCTCTGTATTTTCTTTGATAGCTCCTTGAATGGCTTCCACTAAATTCAAATGTATTTGACTCTAAAGTGCAACTTGTAAAATTTTATCTGGTAATTTATAGATTGAATTTCAAGCGTACATTATTTACATGAAGAACTACTAGCAAATCGTATGATTCCGTTTGTATGAAATGTTCAAAATGGCAAAGATATAAATACAGAAAGTAGATTAGTGGTTGCCAGAAGCTGCAGATTGGGGGTAACAGCTAAGGAGAGTGGAGTGCGTTTTTGGGGGTATGAATAGTTTTAAAATTTATTCTGATGGTGGCTGCACAACTCTCAATATCTTGAAATCCATTGGATTGTATGCCTAAATGGGTGAATTCTATATGTTAATTATATCTCAATAAAGCTTTTTTTTTTTTAAAGAAAAAGAAGTACTAGGACATGTTTAGAATATTCTTTCAAAGGCTTAAACAAAGCTGAAAAGTGAGAAGAGCCCTAGATTCCTTCTGGGAAACCTGGCTTAAATCCAGTTTTCTTTATTTCCCAGATCTGAGAATTTGGTCACTGAGCAAATAACATGATATTCCTAAGTCTGATTTCTTTGTTTATAAAATGAGGATGAATATGCTACCCTACCTATACCACGAGCTAAATAAGCTAGTATTTGTAAAGGATACACACTCACACTCACATTCACACACAGGTATGTATGTATGTGTAAAAATGTAGGGACCTAACCCAAGCAACTGAGTATTTGTTGATCACTATCTGCACACAGCATCTGGCAAATGGATGCGTGTGATTTTTCCGGGGATAAGAGGCAAACGTATACTGATGGAAAGCCTTCCTCAGGCCATAACAAAGGGAGAAATGCTGAGTCCCCGACCCTGCCGCCACCATGAACTGGTGAGAGAACGGAATATATTCAAAGAGATATTTCACTGTTTTAACTTGCAAGTGAGGGGAGCATGACACCGTAACAGAGATGATATAAATTAGTCAAACTGAGAACCAGGCAAAGAGCTTAGCCGTCCTTTGCATAATTAGCTACATTGGCTCTTTTTCAATTAGACTGGCCATTATGTGGGTGCACTCATTTAGATTTGAAAAATCACCCATTATTTTCTCTGCCCATTCATTCCAGCACCCTGACAATCTTCACAGGAAACTTAAACTTATTTCTTGAAGAATTCCTCAATCTTATACAAGATTTTCAACTGGAAGTTTCATGAATCAAAAATTAAATGAATTGCACATAAAGCCATGGCATATGTATTTTTACTACATTGTGGGAGAAAAAATAATTCTTATAATTTAAAAAAACTATGTCTTACCTGATTTCAGAAATAAAAGAAGTAGAAGAACCACTTCCTTATGTTCCATTTTGGGACTGGCCAGCAGTGCCCAGAAAGTGGGTCCCAATCCCAGGATGTTGTTGACTTACATGAGAGTAAACGCATCCACAAACCAGATAGTCAAATTAAGTTAATGATTCTCTCAGAGACCCATGCCACTGGCTCAGCAGGGTTCAAACATTACCTTGAATAAAGAGTCCTTACAACATGTTTGAGGGTGGAATCTGCAATAGATGCTGGGAAGTGGTGAAAGCAATCTCCCCCCTCGGCTGCTCCACGCTGCCGTCATGTCTCCTTATTCCTTCCCTCACCCTTGTACTTTATCTCTCGCAATTAGTCTTATTTCCTCCCCTCTTCTCTTATTCCCTTTCTTTTGGAGAAAATGAAATCATAAAAGTATCTCACATTTGCTGGAACCTTCCATGACGAGACCCTCTGCCAAGCGCTGCACGTCCATAGCCTCCCTCAAGCTTCCCAACAGGCAGGGCTGTTCTCATTCCTGCTGTACGAGGGATGGGGCTGAGGCCTTCCCCAAGGTTGTGTCTCTACCCAGGGGTGCAGCTGATAGACAAAACCCCTTCAGGTCTTAGATGACAAACTTAAGTTAGGTGTAAACGTTAATATCTCTACATCCTACACCAAATGACATAGAAATTACGACATAAGTGAAAGTATCTTATTATCTTCAAAATTTATTTATTCCCAGTGAACTCACATGTTTTCTGTAATTATAAATTATGTTATAAGACATCAATCTTTCCCCCAAATGAACGTATGCCATATTATTATATTCTCATTCTCATGAAATAAAGCAAGACTGGTAGCATTAAGTGGAAAGCGTCTATCTCAATTTTAAATGTTGAATCTGTACTTTTCCCTGGCTTAAGTCTAGAGCAACCAGGTAGTATATATGCTGTAAAACTTCTATTTTAGTGTTCAAAGATATTTAGGAATAAATCAATTGACCTCTCTATTTTAGATGTGAAATAAGGACCAGAAAGCATTGTTCCTCTTTCCAGGCAGTGAAATTCCTGCCTATTCATTAACTGGCAAAAGAGTAGAGGTGGGAGCCCAATGGTCTTGGGTGGAATGTCCTGCGGAATTCCCTGGGATTGAGGAACCATGCAGAACCCTCAAGAAGAAGCCACACTGGGCAACAAGAGGGTGGCCCCATGTGAGGGACAGGGGGACCGAATCGCTTTTCCTGATTTCCTATTTTAGCCTCACTCTCTTCTCTCCTCAAATTCTTACCACTCCCTTTATCCTCTCTGACTCACCTCATGGCCCAGTTCATTAAAGGGGACAGAAGGTGGAGGCAGATTGAGAAACCAGCAGTGGGCAGACATTTTATTTTTAATGTGAAATGTCTCTTAGGGGGCTCATGTTGATGTGCTTGAGAAAGTACTCTGGGAAAAAAAAATACTCTACTAATATATAATGCTTCCAGCATGTATTTATTTCCACTTAAAATATTATTGTAGCAGTTCCTCTTGGATAAGGCACCTTGGGAATGATGTTATCAGAAATTCTACATCCACATAATTTTCTTTTCCTGTTGTTTTGGTTTTGACTTGGGTGGTGTTGGTATAGCTTTTGCCCACCTTTCCCCTGGTAGTTGTTGGATGCATTAAATTCTACAAATGTGATTTTATAAATTAGTTGCCCTCCTAATGGCCTCCTGGCTGTACATTCTTCCCTACCTTCATAATCCATCAGCATCGTGAAAGCACAGAGGGACGTTGAGCAGAGCTCTGTGCTGGCGCCACCGCACTCTGTAGCCTGTAAGAGAGCAGCAAAGAGGAATGTGTTGCTCAGGTATAGACGGGGGTGGGTGCATAGAGACTTCCGCTGCGGCATGGCCCTTCATGTCCAGGGTAGGCATGAAGCAATGGACTATTCCAGGTTGTGCATAGGAAACCACACAGCACTCTTGGAGGGATTTTTGCTCTAAAGACAACTAATTCAAAATAAGGCGCTTTCTACCTGAAAGAACAGCATGAACTAAGAAAAGAGATATATAGAGAGATCTCTGTGTACTATGATCAGGTTGCACATATTCTGGGATTTATGTATTCTTATTAGTTCAATTCCTTATTTATTGACCACTTACTGTTTACAATATTGTATTAGATTCTTTTAGGATTACAGTTGACCCTTGATCAATTTCAGGGGTTGGCACACTGACCATACACAGTAGAAAATCCAGGTATAACTCTGACTCTCAAAAACTTAACTACTAACAGCCTGCTGTTGACCAGCAACAGTTAATAACATGTATTTTGTATGTTATATGTATGATATACTGTATTCTTACAATAAAGTAAGCTAGAGAAAAGGAAATGTTCGTAAGGAGAAAATACATCTGTGGTACTGTTATGTATTTTTCCATACAGTAAGTTTACACCACCTGTTTACAAGATGAATCATCTGTCTGAAATGGAAGCAACCCCAGCTACAGACCTCAGTCTCTGTTACATATCAAGCAAATCCAGTTTTTCTTGTAATGTCAAATGTCATGACTTTTCTCTGCTTCTTGGGAGCACTTCCAGCATCACTAGTGCCACTTCATATTGGATCCCATGGTGTTATTCAAGGTTTACAGTACAGCACGAAACAGGACGAAAAATACATGCGAACAGGGAGAGAGCACTTTTTACTGTGATGCGCAATTCACTGGGGATGAACTGCTCATGATGGAATGTTGAGTATCACAGAACGTTTTAAGTGGATACTCGCAACACCTTTGCTCATTGCAACAGCAACAGGAGGAGGATATGAAATTATTACCATAGTGTGGTATGCACTACGGTTAAATTTATGCAGTTACAATTTAATACTGCATCTTGATGTTTGTATACACTTCTCTCAACTGAGAATAGCACCATATACGATCTGTGAGTGTGTACACAATTTTTACTAAATTTTAACTTTTGCAATAGTTTTGTTATATTTTATGGTAGTAAAGAATAAAATAGACTAGGTATCTACATATATTTTATGCATTCATGACATACTTAACTTTTTCTATTTTTGTTGATATTTCTAGCTGGATGGTTTGTCTTTGAGTTTTTTCAAATTGTTGCAAAACTCCAAAACATTTTCTAACACATTTATTGAAAAAAATCTGTGTGTAACAGTTCAGACGTGTGTTGTTCAATGATCAACTATATGTCTAAAGAGTACAAGTCAGTCTCTAACCTTCCCCAGCCTCTCTATGCTAAAGGAACTACAGGAAACTTTCGCACGCAAGATGTGTGGAGATTCTGCTGCTGCACTTGTAGCAGGCATAGGAACGTTCAAATAGGCTGGGCGCGGTGGCTCATGCCTGTAATCCCAGTACTTTGGGAGGCCAAGGCAGGTGGATCACGAGGTCAGGAGTTTGAGACCAGCCTGGCCAGCATGGTGAAACCCCATCTCTACTAAAAATACCAAAAATTAGCAGGGCATGGTGGCATGCTCCTGTCGTCCCAGATACTGGGGAGGCTGAGGTGGGAGAATTGCTTGAACCCAGCAGGCAGAGGTTGCAGTGAGCCGAGATCGTGCCATTGCACTCCAGCCTGGGTGAGAGAGCAAGACTCTGTCTCAAAAAAAAAAAAAAAAAAAAAAAAAAAAAGAACATTCAAATAAGATTGGAGACAAATTGAATTCTCCTTAGCTCTGCCCAGCATAAGGCCTGCAATCAAGATCCACTCAGGTCCTCTTAAGAAGGAATAGACGTCTCTTCCAGCATTAAAATGGTAAATTCCTTTCAAGTATTTACAAAGAAAGTTATAAACACCAGGAAACATCAACCTCACCAGGAGGTGAGGTAGAGTTCAACCTTCCATCTCACCTGAAGTGGAAAATGCAGCCAAGTCACAACTTCCTAGGCGAAGCACGTCCATGCAAGCTGGACTGCATTGCTGGCCTGACATTTGCACCTGGCAGCTCCACGCCACCCCTTCTTTCAACCTTCCTTGAGCCCAGGCTCTGCTGCCCGGGAACTGCCATTCTAGGACAGCTCATTTCATCAACATGAACTTCTCTGCATAGCCCCAAGAGGACAGCATCATTTCCAAATGGAACTAGCAAGAACTTAATTAATCTACTAAGGACTCATATAAAGCATCCCTCTGCCGTGGTAAGGGTCCTCGGCAAGTTTATCTGTGCCTTCGATGCCAATGTGCAGATTGTTTTTACTGCTGTTTTAGTGTATTAGGGCATACCAGCGAGGAGACTTGTACTAATTAACCTGGAGGTGGCTCTTCTTTCTTTAGTTGCCCTTTTCCACATGTTAGCCTTTGTTCATCAGTCCCCAGGACCATGCAATGAGGTGATTATCAGCCCTCATGTCCTGTAAAGAGATAGCAGACTATCTCTCAAGTTAGCACAGTGGTTAAAATGTAATCAACTCGGGGGCATTTTCTTTTCCTTTCTTTCTTTTTTTTTTTTGGAAACAGAGGCTGGCTCTGTCACCCAGGCTGGAGTGCGGTGGTGCAAACACAGCTCACTGTAGCCTTAACCTCCTGGATTCAAGCGATTCTCCCACCTCAGACTCCAGAGTAGCTGGGACCACAGGTGCACGCCACCACGCCCAGCTATTTTTTTTTTTTTTGTATTTTCTGTAGAGACAGGGTTTTGCCATGTTACCCAGGCTGGTCTTGAACTCCTGGGCTCATGAGATCCTCCTATCTCCGTCTCCAGAAGTGCTGGGATTGCAAATATGAGGCACTTTACCTGGCACTAGGGGACACTTTCTAAGTGAGACCTAACTCATTTGGGGCTCAGTGAGGTGATATTTTCTTAAATGAGTTGTGCTTGAAAAAATCTAGATATCTATTCATCTTTGAAAAAATTAATTTTCATTGGCTGTCTCCTCATCATTAATAAGCATGGCTGTGTTACATGCTTAAGACAAATTTTAGCAGAGAAGAAGACAGTCAGACCCGGATAACTTAGCAGCCTGCACTGAGTTGGCACCAGGACTCCCCAGAGGAGAGACGAGGGTCCTTCTGCTCTGAGGTCCAGACTCACCATGGATAAAACAGAGATGCACCAAATCATCCTTCCCACCTCTCACATTCATTGTTCTCTAAGCTTATTCGGAGAAAAAAAAACCTTATCTCACAGTATGTCGGGGAGATAAGTCATGTAGAAAAACATTAAAATATTTTCAGGAAAGCAAATGAGTGCACAAAAAACCTGGTGAAATCTGAGCAAGGTCTGCAGACTAGTTTCTGATGTGGTGCCAATGGCAACTTTCCAGTTGTAATCATGAACTATAGTTATGTAAGATACTGCCTGAGGGAGGCGGGGCCATACAAGGACCTCTCAGTACTATATTTGTAACTTGTTGTGTTTATACTTAATTCAAAACAAAAATTATATGTATATATTTACATATATACATACATGTTATGTTTGCAATACATGTGCCTATATTTGGATACATGTGTCTATTTTAGGAGGACCCAGGATGATGTAACTGCTTTCACACTAGTTAAGAGAACTCCCAAAGCTCAGGGAAAGTCTAAAGTTATAGAGTTCCTAACTCAGGGTGCAGAACTCGGACTTTGGCTGATTCTCGTGAGCTCCTGGGATGAGTGGGTGGGACAGAGAGGCTTCTCCACCACCACGCTCCTTCCCTGGCTGGAGACCAGATGGTTAAGGACTGATGGGTGCCAGAGAGCAGCAGCACCCCATGTGGATCCAGAACCCAGAGGCTGGAGTAGTTCATGCCTGCTCCTGCCTCCCAGGTATTCAAGGGAAACCCACCATCTCCACACACCAGCAAAACACCAGCAAAACAGAGGCCCCAAGTAATGACTTCTCCGTTCTCATCTTATCTTGCCACCTGACCAGCTCCTGGGCTCCTCAATCCAAAGTTGGGGAAGAGAGAAGGGAACGTCAGTGGAAACCACTTTTGCTATAAACGCTCATCCTTCAGATGTTCTTTCAGTGGGTACAATGCTTAGTGCTGTGCTGGGTGCTAGGGAATCAAGAGTAAATAAGAGGCCATCTTTGCCCTCAGGGAGTCTTTGGTCTAACGGGGTTGGGGCAATGCAGGTCTGTAAACTGGAATTGTAAAAGTGAAGTGGCCCAGGTCCCATTTGCTGTAGTGGTGCACAGAGAGACAGTCTTGAGAGGTGAGGAGACATTTCCCAGAGGAAGTGACATCCAAGTTGAGACTTAGAAGACAGCTGGAAGGATGAGAAAGGAGAATAATTCTGTGAAGTCCTAATTAGGCAAAAGGAATCAGGCTGGTGACACTGAGGAAAAAAGAAAGAGAAAGCAGATAAGCTATAAGTTTGCCTTTCTTCATGGTCCAGGACCATAGCCCTCCTGCACAAATAACTCACAATCTTCCTGTGCCCAGCTATCACCAGGCCCTCAGCTGATAGAAAAATGCAGGTTATCCCACTGCAACCTTGGTGTTATCAGTACTGCACTAAGCCCTCTTCAGCACGCAGCACAAGCAACATCCTATAAAACCCCCAGCAAGCCTTTGTCTCTTGGCATTCAGCTCCTCTCTTGCTGGCCTGCCCCTTGCTGCCTTGCAACATATTTTCATGCTTTCTTTAATAAATCTGCCTTTCTTTATCTACAACTGTCTTGGTAAATTCTTCTTACTGCCCATGGGATACTGGCCTCAGATAGTTGCTTCACCTGCTACACATTCTTTAAGCAGAAGAAATATATGTGCAGGGTCCCAGAGGCGGGAGGAGCAGGCAGATGAGAGGAATTTGGCTAACATGGGGAAATGGTCCAATTGTGCAGGCTTCTCACTCTGTTTCAAGAAGTTTAGACTTCAGCCAAAGAAAGGCAGGGACTACTGTTACTGAAGGCTTTTAAAATCCAAGGGTGGCTTGATCTCTCTGATTGCAGTGTAGTGAGGAGGTCATAGGAGGTGAGAGATGAGAGGGGGTGAAAGAAGGCAGTGGAGAAAGAGAAAAAAGAATGGATTAGGGGGATGTTGAGAAAGTAGAATTGACATGATTTTGTGACTGACTGAATGTGGGGAATGAAATCAAGTATGCTGCCTGAATTTCTGTCTTGGACATCTGGTGGATAGTGGATCATTCATTAAGAAGGAACACATAGGAGGGAATAAGATGAAATTGCCTGGGGACAATGTTATGTTTAGGAACTTGAGAAAACCCAAGTGGAAATTTCCAGAAGGGAGTTGAATATTCTGGTTTAGAACAGGAGTTGGCAAATTATAGCCCATGAAGCAGGCTTATTTTTATAAATCAAGTTTATTGGAACATGGCCACACCCATTCTTTTACCATTTTCTGTGGCTATATTTGCACTACCTTAGCAGAGTTGAGCAGATGTGACAGAGACAGTACAATGAGCAGCAAGCTGATAAAATATTTGTTATCATCGCTTTACAGAAAAAGTTTGCCAATTCCTGGTGTAGAGCCTAGGAAAGAGGTCTGAGCTGGAGATGTGGAATCAGCAGTTGTCAGCAGATAGGTGGGATTGAAGCAATGGGGGTGGACAAGCTTGCTCAGAGAGAGAAAAAGAAGCCCTAGGATAAAGTCCTCAACAACATAAAGACCCAGAAGGAGAGAATTCTGTAGAGATGACTGAGAACAGTTAGCCAGAGGGGAAAATTGACAGCGTGAGTCCAGAGAAGCCAGCAAAAGTGAAAATTGTAAAAAGGTGGGAGTGGTCATGGGTACCAAAGACTTGTGAGAAATCAAGTGAGATGTATCCTGTGTATGCCAGAAGGTAAGAGCAAATGAGGCCAACATAACCTTAATAATACCAATCTCAATGGCCCAGACTCCAGCAAAGTCTACTCTGGCTACTGCTACCACTAAATATATATAAAACTCAGTAAAATAGCAATTTTAATTAAACAAATTCCTGACCTATTGCTGTAATACTCCTTTACCAACATTTTTGCCTGTGTATGCTTTGATTGCCTCTTCAATAATGTTGTAATATCATATTCTATGAGAGAAGAGAATAATAAACTATTTTGGCTCTAGTATTTTATTATTGATAGATTTAAATTTTTCTTCTGGCTTCATAGCTCATGATCGATAATGGAAGATTAGTTTTCAGGATTCTTGGCACACTTAGGAAAATCTTTATCAAACTATTTTTATGTATGAGCTGTAAGATTTGGTTTAATTCCCAGATGGGATGAGCTACACTCTTTTCTAGCTTTGTACATTTCTATTTTTCTTATTCAACTTTTATTTTAAGTTCAGGGATAAAAGTGCAGGGTTGTTACATAGGTAAACATGTGTCATGGGGGTTTGTTGTGCAGATTATTTCATCACCCAGGTATTAAACCTAGTACTCATTAGTTATTTTTCCTGACGCTCTCTCTCTTCCCATCCTCCAACCTCTGATAGGCCCCAGTGTGTGTTGTTCCCCTCGACGTGTCCATGTGTTCTCATCATTTAGCTCCTACTTATAAGTGAGAACATGCGATATTTGGTTTTCTGTTCCTGTGTTAGTTTGCTAAGAATAATGGCCTCCAGCTCCATCCATGTTCCTGCAAACGCACATGTCTTGTGACACAATCGTGATGTAATCTATGGTCTTGCATATTTACATTACACCTCTAGGTAAGTCAGCACAAGGGAGGTGAAGACTATTCTGAAATCTGTTTTACACAGGGACAGCTAGCAATAACATACACAGAAATGACTCCATACCACATAAATAAATCCCATGGAACCCAAACTCAATGACTCAACTCAATTCTTCTTTTGCTGGATCCTCAAAATGCCCACATCCACTCCACCACCACCCAACATGAGGGCAGAAAGAGATCAGAATTTTAGCCAATTACAGCTAAAATGTCTGCTTTTGACAAAAGCAAATGACCAAATGGATACATTGCCAGGGCCCCTCCAGAGCCTCAGAAAGGGCCTGTTGAAGTTGTCTTTTGCTATGGGATGAATCAAACCAAAACACAGTGGCTTAAAATAAGACGAATTATTTTATTTCTGAATTCTGAAGGTCTGCTGGGTTTGGCCAGGTGATTCTCTTTCTTGTGGTCTCTTAGGTCAGTGGTGGCTAGGGCTGAAACCATCTCAAAGCCTTCCTCACGCACATCTCATGGGTGATCCCAGCTGTTGCTGGAATCTCATCTGTGACTATCGGCCAAAACACTCAGAACTTCTCCATGTGTCTGGGCTTCCTAGAAGCCTGCAACTGGCTTCCAACAGAATCAGGCAGAAGTTATTTCTCCTTTACAGTCTAGCCTGGAAATACTCCAGCATCATCTGCATGAGAGTCACAAGTCTCCCCAGATTCTAGGGAAGGACATATAGACCCCACCTTTCCATGGGAGGACTATTGGCCTCATCCTGTAAGAAGAGTACATGTGGCTGGAGTCTTGTGGCTGCCATCTTGGAAAATACAATCTGCCATGGGACTCATGCAAGGAAGGAGCCCTGAGCCTGAATGTTATTAGCTTTTCTGTGCATCGGTCTCTATTTGCGCATGTTCCATAATTCGTCTCCTTCCAGAGCTTGCCAAAAGTGTCCCGCTATAATCTTTCCCTCTCCCATGTTGACACAGGTCAAATCCTTGAACTCTGTTGCCCAAATAGCTTCAAGCACATCTGCTTCCACTGAAGGTTGAGCCAAAGGTTAGTCTCCTCCCCCTCCACTAGTGGTGGCCTGAACCCCCAATATCACTGTGTCTTTGTTAGGTAAAGGGACTTGTATATTTATGGCAGGTGGTACCTGAGGAATAAGCTCTGGCTGTCATTGCACACAGAAAGTTAGGTTTCTGCTATTTCAGAGGATAGCCCCCCCTTGTGTTCAGTCAGAGGTGTAACCAGACACAGTTTTATGGGAATCAAAAGTGTTGCAATCTTTAATTGCCATAAACATGCAATCCTTCTTCCACAAAGCATGCTGAAAGATGTGCTTTTTGGTGCTGTGGTGGCAGGGTTAAAATGGAGTTTTAGCATTCGTCCCACTTTCTATCTCAAACCAGTAGTCCCTCCAACCCGACATCACGGTGTTGGGGGAGACCGCTAAGTGCTTGGCACAGCCAGCCATGTGGTATGGAGCCACTTCTGTGGCTGTACCACCATCTGACAGTAACCTCACGAGAGACCCCAAGGGAGAGAACTGCCTGGTCAAGCCCAGCCAAACTCCTTTTCCCCTTAATGGAACATTCTCTCAGGAAGCCTGGCTGTTTCTAACAAATTGATCTTGGCCCAGAGCCATCGCAATTTGTACAAGATTTTATATCCCTGCACCTCAATAGTCATGAGAGTGCTGGCTTCTCAGTATTTTTCTTCCAGGCAGACTGCTCTGGCCCACCAGGTGAATCAGGGTTGTGTTTAGATGGTTAGGAGACTCCTCCCAAGTTTAAAACAGTGTCCAAGCCTCAACTGTAAATCAACTGGGGAGACACCCCAACCCTAATCACCAGCACTGTCTGAGCTCCAGTCCCCGCTCTATCAAGATGTCCTTTTAGAAAGATAAGGACTAAAAAATGCTCACTGAGTTTGGCGATGACAGTCAGTAGAGGGGTGGGAAGAGAAATCACGCCATATGTCTCAGCCCACTTGTGCTGCGGTAACAAAGTGTCACAGTCTTTGATGGATTACCCAGATGACAGCCTGGGTAACCCATACAGGACAGAAATATATCATCTCACAGTTCTGAAGGCTTCAAAGCCCCCGATCAAGGTGCCAATTATTACAGTGTCCTCACATGGCAGAAGGCAGAGGGTAGGAGAGGATGAACATTGTGTCTTCACACAGCAGGACAGTGAAAGAGCCTGAACCCACTCCCACAAGTTCCCTTTAAAACAGCATTAATCGGCCTAAATTCCCAAAAGTCCCCATCTCCCAACACTGTTTCGTGAGGGATTAAGTTTGCAACATGTTGGGCCGAGGCAGCGGCTCATGCCTGTAATCCCAGCACTTTGGGAGGCCAAAGCAGTGGATCCCTTGATCTCAGGAATTTGAGACCAGAGCAGGCAACATGGGGAAACCCTGTCTCCGCCAAAAATCAAAAATTAGCCAAGTATGGTAGCACACACCTGTAGTCCCAGCTATTTGGGAGGCTGAGGTGGGAGGATCACCTGAGACCAGGAGGTCGAGGCTGCAGTGAGTCGAGATCGCACCACTGCACTCCAGCCTGGGCGATAGAGTGAGACCCGGCCTCAAAAAAAAAAAAAAAAAAAAAAAAAAGGTTTGTAAGATGTGATATTGAGGAACACATTCAGACCACAGCATCACGGCTGAAGAGTCAGTGGGAAACAAAATGGAAACAGCATATTAGGATAACTCTGAAGAAATGTGTCTGGGATGAAGCCAAGAGAGAAGGAGCTGGAGGCCCCGGGAGTGCTCACAGGAGAGCGGCCATAGGTGGCGAGAAGAGAGAAGGGGTTACCAGGGGTGAGTTCCTGAGGAGAGCGGGGCTGTCACTCGAGGAAAGGTAGTCCCTGTGGGGAAAGGACAAAGGAGTTGGGCAGCGACAGGGGTCCGCTGTCCTCACAGCAGGAAATGGAAGGAGGTTCCCTCAGGGCTCTTTTGCCTCCTGGAAGTACAAGGTGCCTCCATATTCAGAGCAAGAAGGGTGCAGGGTGGGGCAGGAGACCTCAGGGAGTCAAGGTTTTGCACAGAGGGAACGGATGGGGACACAGGGCCCCTGCAGCCTCAGGAGGATCAGCTGCGGCCTGGTTTGCTCGTGTCGTCGTTCGTCGTGGTCACCTTGTCCCCGGGGTCAGCCAGTTACTTGGCTTCCAGGCCCGTCATCCTGCCAGAAGCATCCCCAGCTTGGGGATGTTGGAGAGGCCCTGGCCCCACCTGGCTGGGGATGGAGTGTGTGAGCTGTCCTGGGCTGAACCTGGGTGTGGGGAAGAGAGGGGACTTAGAAAAGAGAGGGACAGTGAACTTGGTTTTGTGTGGCTGGCTGGAGTGACAATGAAAAATGACTGTGTTTGAAATATTAAATTTCCTTCTCTCATCAAGAATTCATTGTACCTGCCTGGCCCCTGAAGGTGACAGTTTGCAATCCCTGATGTTATGGGCTGAACGTTTGTGTCCCCCCAAAATTCATATGCTGAAGCCCTGACTCATGATGTGCTAGTATTTGGAGGCAGGGCCTTTGGAGGTGATGAGGGTTAGATCAGGTGATAAGGGTGTGGTTCCCATGATGGGATTAGTGCCCGTATAGGAAGAGGAAGACAGCAATCTACACACAAACGCACACACACACACACACACCCCGTTCCTTTCCCTCCTCGAACAAGCAGAGGAGATGCCATGTCAGGGTGTAGTGAGGAGTGGCGCTGTCTAAAAGCAAGAAAAGAGATTTCATCAGACACTGCATTGGCCAACACCTTGATCTTGGACATCCAGTCTCCAAACGTGAGAAATAAATGTCTGTATCTAACCCCCAACCCTACCACCCCACCTCCCGTGTGTGGTATTTTGTGATGTCAGCCCCAGCTGACTAAGGCACCTGGTTAAACCAGAATAAGCAGGTGAGGAGCACTGCGGGAGGGGTAAGAGAGGAAACCAGACCGGGCCAGATGACTGGGGAGACTGTTTTGCTAAATATTGTGCATTTTAACCCAAAGGCCATGGCACGCCACTGAAGGCAGGGTGTGCCTCAAACTTGGGGGGCCCTAAGCCCCTTGGAAAAGAAAAGAATATCATTTATGGAGAAAAGGAAGTCCCCCTTTTCAAAGGTCATTTGACCTTCATAAAAGAATAGGTCCTCTGGTTCTTAGTGTTAGAGCTCAGTAGGGGAAGGTGGTTCCCTGAATTTTTAAACGCCCTCTTCTGAATCCAACAGTACATGAGTCCCTTAAGAGTGGCCAGAGAAGAAAGAATCCACTGGCCGGGCGCGGTGGCTCACGCCTGTAATCCCAGCACTTTGGGAGGCCCAGGCAGGTGGATCTTGAGGTCAGGAGATCAAGACCATCCTGGCTAACACAGTGAAACCCTGTCTCTACTAAAAATACAAAAAATTAGCCAGGCGTGGTGGCGGGCACCTGTAGTCCCAGCTACTTGGGAGGCTGAGGCAAGAGAATGGCATGAACCCAGGAGGTGGAGCTTGCAGTGAGCAGAGATCGCGCCACTGCACTCCAGCCTGGGAGACAGAGCGAGACTCCGTCTCAAAAAAAAAAAAAAGAATCCACTGAGTTGACATTCCAGTTCAGTAATTTGTAGGGACATTGTTTTGAAATAATCTGTAGGCAAGGGAGCACCAACTCATAACTAACCTCAAACCTGCAGGGTTCCTTAGCCCAGTTCTTAGCCCAAAACCCTTCTCTGTCTGGCCAGCAGTGAAGGATTATTGCAAATGTTGTTCAGTTTCATTTGACTTACTTTGCAAAACCAAGTTCCAATATATAAATAACTGTGAGAGCTGAGGTCGCTGCATTTAGTTCCTCTGAGCAGTCTTTCCACCTACCAGGCCACGATCAATAGTAATCACCATTGAACATCCTTGAGGCAATTCTTTCAATATTACTTTGCATCAGTGACTGCACAAGAATTGCTCCAAGTGGAAGGACTGATGTTGGCAAGCCGGCTTCCAGCAGGGGCTGCAGACAGCCCTTGATCTTCAGGGGAAGTTACCTCTGAGTTCAGACACTCTGGCAATCCCTAGCTATCAACCTTCCGATAAGCAAGTAAGTGGAAAGGTGAAATTAGACAAATAACGTTATTACCTTAGAGGACAATTAAGCATTGGTGGCTAATCTAAACATACCCTTTTCATGATTTTTATTTTACTACTAGCTATGATTTATTGTAGGCTTGTCCATCTGTGCCAGGCACAAACAGCACTATGAATTACCTATACCATGCTACAATCACCAGAGTTTTTCTCTGTTATTATTACCATTTTATAGATCAGGACATTGAAACTGATTTGCCCAAAGTTATGCCAACAGAAATTGGCAGAGCCAGTTTCTAACCCAAATATCTGAGTCTTAAGTGATTACTTTTAACCACTACACTGCAATTTACTACTGGGAGGAGGAATAATAATAATAATATCTTGATATTATTTGATTGATTAATGCCTAAAGTGTCTAGGCACCATACTAAGCTCTTTTTTAAATGTTTCATTTCATTTACAATTGACACATAGCAATCGTACATATTTATGGGGTACAGTGTGATGTTTCAATGCATGGATACCTTGTATAATGGTCAATTAGGGTAATCAGCATATTTATCACCTTAAACATTTATCCTTTCTTTGTGGTGAGAAGATTTAAAATCCTCTCTTCTAGTTATTTTGAAATATACAATACATTGTTATTAGCTATAGTCACCCTAATGTGTAATAGAACAACCAGAACGTATTATTTCTAACTGGAACTTTGAACCCATTGACCAACCTCTCTCGATTGTCTTCTCCCCAACTACCCTTCTCAGCCTCTGATAACCATTATTCTACTTTCTTATTCTATGAGATCAAGTTTTTTTTTAAAAGTTTTATTTTGAAATATACAATACATTATTATTAGCTATAGTCACCTTAGTGTGTAATAGAACAACCAGAACTTATTATTTCTAACTGGAACTTTGAACCCATTGACCAACCTCTCTTGACTGTCCTCTCCCCAACTCTGCTTCTCAGCCTCTGATAACCATTATTCTACTTTCTAATTCTATAAGATCAAGTTTTTCTAAAAAAAGTTTTAATCAACAAATAATAATTGTACATATTCATGGTGTACATAGAGATTTTCAATACATATAATGTATAGTGATCAAATCAGGGTAATTAACATATACATCATCTCAAACGTTTATCATTTTTTATATATTTATGTTGGGAATATTCAACATCCCCCTTTTAGATATTTGAAACTATTCATTATTGTCGACATCCTGCAGTGGTATAGAACACTAGAACATATTCCTCCTATCAAGCTGTAATTTTATAGCCTTTAACAACTTTCTTCCTATCCCTCCCTGCCCTGGATTCTTCTCAGCCTCTAGTACCTTCTGTCCTACTTTTTACTTCCTGTGTTCAACTCTTTTAGCTGACACATATGAGTGAGAACATGCAGTGCTAACCTTTCTGTTCCTGGCTTATTTAACATAATGTCCTCTAACGTCACTCATGTTACTGTGAATGATAGGATTCCATTCTTTTTATGGCTGAATAGTATTCCATGATATGTATATACCACATTTTCTTTATCCATTCATGTGTGGTCAGACAACTAGGTTGATTCCATGTCTTGGTTATTGTGAAGAGAGCTGCAATAAACCTGGGGCTGCAGATGACTCTTTGATATAATGATTTCCATTCTGTTAGATAAAGCCCAGTAGTGAGATAGCTGGATCATATGGTACTTCTATTTGTAGTTTTTTAAGGAACCTGCATACTGTTCTCCAGAGTGATTGCGCAGTTTAAATTCCTACTAACTATGTACAAAAGTTCCCTTTTTTTCTGCATCCTCACCAGCATGCTATTTTTGTCTTTTTGATAATAGCCATCCTTACTGGGGTGAGAAAATAGCTCATTGTGGTTTAGGTTTGCATTTCTCTGAGGATTAGTGATGTTGAGCACATTTTCATTCATTCGTTGGACATTCATATGTTTTCTTTGAGAAATGTCTACTCCAGTCATTTGCCCATATTTTAATTGGGTTGGTTTTTTTGCTGTGGAGATGTTTGAGTTCCTTGCATATTCTGGATACTACTCCCCTGTTCCATGAGTAGTTTTCACATATATGAGGCACCACACTAGGTCCTTTACACAGGCTATTTCATTTACTCCTCACTCTGACCCTATGAGGGAGGTGCTATTACTACCACTCTCGTCTTACTAATATAGAGTTCAGCAGAGGTTCATAGCTTCCCCAAAGTCACACAGCTAGTGTGGCGGATGGAGCAGGGTTGGATGCCAGAGCCAGGACCTCCAGCCCCACACCTCACTGCTGCCGGAGCCTGCTCATCTGCAGTCACTGCCACAGGCATCAATGGTAGTACCCAGAATAAGCATTTATCGAGCACCTACTGTACTCACAGAACTCTGATCAGTCTGAAGGTCCAAGCAATGAAACAAACAAAGCCAAGGGATCGTAGAAGTCACAGAGTTCAAACCAGAGTCTATGGCCTGAAGTGCACTGCATGGGCCAGGTTAAACTGAATGAAACATTCCGATTTTGATCCCTTTCATTATTTGTTGTCCATACCCATAAATACTTTTACAGGGATCAGTTTAGATGCCAAGTCAAAAGCAAATAGGCAATGAATCAGCTCTTCCAACATTTTCTTCTCCTGAAAAAGGTTCTTTGAAAGCCCTGTTTTGCAGAGACTCAGTCCTTTTGCATGATGGGTAAATCATAGGAGATATCTACCAGGTCTTATGTTACATACTTAATGTGGAAAGGTTGCTTCATCCAAAAGCTTGGAGTTTTCAGAGACACTGTCCTCAAACTTCCCCCCTTGGACAATACCAGCGCCTGCAGGGAACAGCTCTGACACACTTAAGACTTAAATACAACCCACAGAAGTGCTGGCTTGGCTGGGAAAACCTATTGCTGAGCAGAAGAGCAGCATTGTTTTTTTTTTCTTTTCTGGAATTTGTAAACAGCATTTATCTCAGCCTTGCCTTTGAAATGTTCCAGTTGGGAGGGAGGAGCCAAGATGGCTGAATAGGAACAGCTCCGGTCTACAGCTCCCAGCGTGAGCGACGCAGAAGAAGGGTGATTTCTGCATTTCCGTCTGAGGTACCCGGTTCATCTCACTAGGGAGTGCCAGACAGCGGGCGCAGGTCAGTGGGTGCGCGCACTGTGCGCCAGCCGAAGCAGGGCGAGGCATTGCCTCACTCGGGAAGTGCAAGGGGTCAGGGAGTTCCCTTTCTTAGTCAAAGAAAGGGGTGACAGACGGCACCTGGAAAATCGGGTCACTCCCACCCGAATACTGCGCTTTTCCGACGGGCTTAAAAAACGGTGCACCGGGAGTTTATATCCCGCACCTGGCTCGGAGGGTCCTACGCCCACGGAGTCTTGCTGATTGCTAGCACAGCAGTCTGAGATCAAACTGCAAGGCGGCAGCGAGGCTGGGGGAGGGGCGCCCGCCATTGCCCAGGCTTGCTTAGGTAAACAAAGCAGCCCGGAAGCTCGAACTGGGTGGAGCCCACCACAGCTCAAGGAGGCCTGCCTGCCTCTGTAGGCTCCACCTCTGCAGGCAGGGCACAGACAAACAAAAAGACAGCAGTAACCTCTGCAGACTTAAATGTCCCTGTCTGACAGCTTTGAAGAGAGCAGTGGTTCTCCCAGCACGCAGCTGGAGATCTGAGAACGGGCAGACTGCCTCCTCAAGTGGGTCCCTGACCCCTGACCCCTGAGCAGCCTAACTGGGAGGCATCCCCCAGCAGGGGCAGACTGACACCTCACACGGCTGGGTATTCCAACAGATCTGCAGCTGAGGGTCCTGTCTGTTAGAAGGAAAACTAACAAACAGAAAGGACATCCACACCAAAAACCCATCTGTACATCGCCATCATCAAAGACCAAAAGTAGATAAAACCACAAAGATGGGGAAAAAACAGAGCAGAAAAACTGGAAACTCTAAAAAGCAGAGCGCCTCTCCTCCTCCAAAGGAATGCAGTTCCTCACCAGCAACAGAACAAAGCTGGACGGAGAATGACTTTGACGAGCTGAGAGAAGAAGGCTTCAGACAATCAAATTACTCTGAGCTACGGGAGGACATTCAAACCAAAGGCAAAGAAGTTGAAAACTTTGAAAAAAATTTAGAAGAATGTCTAACTAGAATAACCAATACAGAGAAGTGCTTAAAGGAGCTGATGGAGCTGAAAACCAAGGCTCGAGAACTACGTGAAGAATGCAGAAGCCTCAGGAGCCGATGCGATCAACTGGAAGAAAGGGTTTCAGTGATGGAAGATGAAATGAATGAAATGAAGCGAGAAGGGAAGTTTAGAGAAAAAAGAATAAAAAGAAACGAGCAAAGCCTCCAAGAAATATGGGACTATGTGAAAAGACCAAATCTACGTCTGATTGGTGTACCTGAAAGTGACGGGGAGAATGGAACCAAGTTGGAAAACACTCTGCAGGATATCATCCAGGAGAACTTCCCCAATCTAGCAAGGCAGGCCAACATTCAGATTCAGGAAATACAGAGAACGCCACAAACATACTCCTCGAGAAGAGCAACTCCAAGACACATAATTGTCAGATTCACCAAAGTTGAAATGAAGGAAAAAAGGTTAAGGGCAGCCAGAGACAAAGGTCGGGTTACCTTCAAAGGGAAGCCCATCAGACTAACAGTGGATCTCTCGGCAGAAACTCTACAAGCCAGAAAAGAGTGGGGGCCAATATTCAACATTCTTAAAGAAAAGAATTTTCAACCCAGAATTTCATATCCAGCCAAACTAAGCTTCATAAGTGAAGGAGAAATAAAATACTTTACAGACAAGCAATTGTTGAGAGATTTTGTCACCACCAGGCCTGCCCTAAAAGAGCTCCTGAAGGAAGCGCTAAACATGGAAAGGAACAACCGGTACCAGCTGCTGCAAAATCATGACAAAATGTAAAGACCATTGAGACTAGGAAGAAACTACATCAACTAACGAGCAAAATAACCAACTAACATCATAATGACAGGATCAAATTCACACATAACAATATTAACTTTAAATTTAAATGGACTAAATGCTCCAATTAAAAGACACAGACTGGCAAATTGGATAAAGAGTCAAGACCCATCAGTGTGCTGTATTCAGGAAACCCATCTCATGTGCAGAGACACACATAGGCTCAAAATAAAAGGATGGAGGAAGATCTACCAAGCAAATGGAAAACACAAAAAGGAAGAGGTTGCAATACTAGTCTCTGATAAAACAGACTTTAAACCAACAAAGATCAAAAGAGACAAAGAAGGCCATTACATAATGGTAAAGGAATCAATTCAACAAGAAGAGCTAACTATCCTAAATATATATGCACCCAATACAGAAGCACCCAGATTTATAAAGCAAGTCCTGAGTGACCTACAAAGAGACTTAGACTCCCACACATTAATAATGGGAGACTTTAACACCCCACTGTCAACATTAGACAGATCAACGAGACAGAAAGTCAACAAGGATACCCAGGAATTGAACTCAGCTCTGCACCAAGCAGACCTAATAGACATCTACAGAACTCTCCACCCCAAATCAACACAATATACATTTTTTTCAGCACCACACCACACCTATTCCAAAATTGACCACATACTTGGAAGTAAAGCTCTCCTCAGCAAATGTAAAAGAACAGAAATTATAACAAACTATCTCTCAGACCACAGTACAATCAAACTAGAACTCAGGATTAAGAATCTCACTCAAAACCGCTCAACTACATGGAAACTGAACAACCTGCTCCTGAATGACTACTGGGTACATAACAAAATGAAGGCAGAAATAAAGATGTTCTTTGAAACCAACGAGAACAAAGACACAACATACCAGAATCTCTGGGACGCATTCAAAGCAGTGTGTAGAGGGAAATTTATAGCACTAAATGCCCACAAGAGAAAGCAGGAAAGATCCAAAATTGACATCCTAACATCACAATTAAAAGAACTAGAAAAGCAAGAGCAAACACATTCAAAAGCTAGCAGAAGGCAAGAAATAACTAAAATCAGAGCAAAACTGAAGGAAATAGAGACACAAAAAACCCTTCAAAAAATTAATGAATCCAGGAGCTGGTTTTTTGAAAGGATCAACAAAATAGATAGACCACTAGCAAGACTAATAAAGAAAAAAAGAGAGAAGAATCTAATAGACGCAATAAAAAATCATAAAGGGGATATCACCACCAATCCCACAGAAATACAAACTACCATCAGAGAATACTACAAACACCTCTACGCAAATAAACTAGAAAATCTAGAAGAAATGGATAAATTCCTCGACACATACACTCTCCCAAGACTAAACCAGGAAGAAGTTGAATCTCTGAATAGACCAATAACAGGATCTGAAATTGTGGCAATAATCAATAGCTTACCAACCAAAAAGAGTCCAGGACCAGATGGATTCACAGCCGAATTCTACCAGAGGTACAAGGAGGAACTGGTACCATTCCTTCTGAAACTATTCCAATCAATAGAAAAAGAGGGAATCCTCCCTAACTCATTTTATGAGGCCAGCATCATCCTGATACCAAAGCCGGGCAGAGACACAATGAAAAAAGAGAATTTTAGACCAATATCCTTGATGAACATTGATGCAAAAATCCTCAATAAAATACTGGCAAACCGAATCCAGCAGCACATCAAAAAGCTTATCCGCCATGATCAAGTGGGCTTCATCCCTGGGATGCAAGGCTGGTTCAATATACGCAAATCAATAAATGTAATCCAGCATATAAACAGAGCCAAAGACAAAAACCACATGATTATCTCAATAGATGCAGAAGAGACTGTTGACAAAATTCAACAACCTTCATGCTAAAAACTCTCAATAAATTAGGTATTGATGGGATGTATTTCAACATAATAAGAGCTATCTATGACAAACCCACAGCCAATATCATACTGAATGGGCAAAAACTGGAAGCATTCCCTTTGAAAACTGGCACAAGACAGGGATGCCCTCTCTCACCACTCCTATTCAACATAGTGTTGGAAGTTCTGGCCAGGGCAATCAGGCAGGAGAAGGAAATAAAGGGTATTCAATTAGGAAAAGAGGAAGTCAAATTGTCCCTGTTTGCAGATGACATGATTGTATATCTAGAAGACCCCATTGTCTCAGCCCAAAATCTCTTTAAGTGGATAAGCAACTTCAGCAAAGTCTCAGGATACAAAATCAATGTACAAAAATCACAAGCATTCTTATACACCAACAACAGACAAACAGAGAGCCAAATCATGAGTGAACTCCCATTCACAATTGCTTCAAAGAGAATAAAATACCTAGGAATCCAACTTACAAGGGACGTGAAGGACCTCTTCAAGGAGAACTACAAACCACTCTTCAAGGAAATAAAAGAGGACACAAACAAATGGAAGAACATTCCATGCTCATGGGTAGGAAGAATCAATATCGTGGAAATGGCCATACTGCCCAGGGTAATTTACAGATTCAATGCCATCCCCATCAAGCTACCAATGACTTTCTTCACAGAATTGGAAAAAACTACTTTAAAGTTCATATGGAACCAAAAAAGAGCCCGCATTGCCAAGTCAATCCTAAGCCAAAAGAACAAAGCTGGAGGCATCACACTACCTGACTTCAAACTATACTACAAGGCTACAGTAACCAAAACAGCATGGTACTGGTACCAAAACAGAGATATAGATCAATGGAACAGAACAGAGCCCTCAGAAATAACGCCGCATATCTACAACTATCTGATCTTTGACAAACCTGAGAAAAACAAGCAACGGGGAAAGGATTCTCTATTTAATAAATGGTGCTGGGAAAACTGGCTAGCCATAAGTAGAAAGCTGAAACTGGATCCCTTCCTTAACAAATTATACAAAAATCAATTCAAGATGGATTAAAGACTTAAACGTTAGACCTAAAACCATGAAAACCCTAGAAGAAAACCTAGGCATTACCATTCAGGACATAGGCATGGGCAAGGACTTCATGTCTAAAACACCAAAAGCAATGGCAACAAAAGCCAAAATTGACCAATGGGATTGAATTAAACTAAAGAGCTTCTGCACAGCAAAAGAAACTACCATCATAGTGAACAGGCAACCTACAGAATGGGAGAAAATTTTTGCAATCTACTCATCTGACAAAGGGCTAATATCCAGAATCTACAATGAACTCAAACAAATTTACAAGAAAAAAACAAACAACCCCATCAAAAAGTGGGCGAAGGACATGAACAGACACTTCTCAAAAGAAGACATTTATGCAGCCAAAAAACACATGAAAAAATGCTCACCATCACTGGCCATCAGAGAAATGCAAATCAAAACCACAATGAGTTACCATCTCACACCAGTTAGAATGGCAATCATTAAAAAGTCAGGAAACAACAGGTGCTGGAGAGGATGTGGAGAAATAGGAACACTTTTACACTGTTGGTGGGACTGTAAACTAGTTCAACCATTGTGGAAGTCAGTGTGGTGATTCCTCAGGGATCTAGAACTAGAAATACCATTTGACCCAGCCATCCCATTACTGGGTATATACCCAAAGGACTATAAATCATGCTGCTATAAAGACACATGCACATGTATGTTTATTGGGGCATTATTCACAATAGCAAAGACTTGGAACCAACCCAAATGTCCAACAATGATAGACTGGATTAAGAAAATTGGCACATATACACCATGGAATACTATGCAGTCATAAAAAACGATGAGTTCATGTCCTTTGTAGGGACATGGATGAAACTGGAAATCATCATTCTCAGTAAACTATCGCAAGAACAAAAAACCAAACACCACATATTCTCACTCATAGGTGGGAATTGAACAATGAGAACACATGGACACAGGAAGGGGAACATCACACTCTGGGGACTGTTGTGGGGTGGGGGGAGGGGGGAGGGATAGCACTGGGAGATATAACTAATGCTAGATGACGAGTTAGTGGGTGCAGCGCACCAGCATGGCACATGTATACATATGTAACTAACCTGCACATTGTGCACATGTATCCTAAAACTTAAAGTATAATAACAATAAATAAATAAACAAATACATTAATTAAAAAAAAAAAAAAAGGAATGTTCCAGTTGGAACACTGCTGGGCAGCGTGGAAAGAGAAGCGAACGTCAGCCACACCGACAGGGGGCAGCAGACCCCACACTTTGCCCATGCCTCAGGTGGGAGGGAGTGTCCGGCTCCCAAAACCTGTCGCGGGCTTCGCGGGCTGTATCCCAAGCGACTTCAGGCAGCAGATGGTTCATGTCCTGAGGCTGCAAAATACGAGGTGGTAGTAGTGGGTGGGGGGTGAGGCTGAGAGTGGGGAGAGCAATGCAGGGGCGCCAGGGTGGGAGCCGCAGCGGGCCCGTGGCCGCCCGGAGGACACTGATTCTTCTGGAGCGAAGGCGAGGGTCCAAGGCGGGACCGGACCAAGGCAGCCTGCGCTCCGCGGAGGCGCGGTATGAGGGACACGAGGCGGTGGCAAGGGACAGGAGGAGGGCGCGGACACGGGGCGCTGGAACGGGGCGGAGACATGGACAGGGCGCGGGTGGGCGGACCCCCTCCCGCAGGGCCAGGATGGTCAGGCCAAGGCCGCTGGGAAAGGCAGGACGCTCGCCCCTGCGCTGTCAGCTGGGCTTTTCTCCTTCCTCTCCTGCCCTGTGTTCCAGGGCGCGACCCCGCTCTGTCCAGACGCTGGCTCCCGGACTGATCCTCAGGTAGGTGGGTCGGAGCCCCTGAGAGAAGTGGGGCTTGTGGGAGGGCATTTCTGTTTCCAAGCGCAAGCACCGGGAGCCCGGATGCTCCAGCCCCTGGACCCTGGATTAGAAACTGGCAGGAGTAGGAGATGTTTTGCAGGAGGCCGCCCTCTGCCTTCCTCTGTTCTAACACCTGCTGGGCTCAGGGAGTCCTAGCACCTGTATTTTTGACCAGAAAAAAATTCGAACAGCAGAAAAGCCAGTGTGATGGGTTACGCCTTCTTAACATGCCCCATTCGACGTTGTAAGTTCCTTGCACAGACTGACCTTTTTCGTGCAATTGATGTGATCCTATGTCAGCTATACAAAACAATTTTTATTTACTGAATTTGGTTTGAAAGGCAAGAAGTTGCTTCCCATAGGGCACATTGATCCTCGGTGGAAAGGGATGCGTATGCCCTGACACAGGGAGAGTCACATGCGCTGCTTGGTTTTGTGTAGAACTAACATGAGATGATCTTTTCACTGATTTTCAGAATTGTGGAGAATTCACTTAGGAAAATAAGTATGTGTATCAATGCGTGACTAATATGGGCACTTACTTCACTGATTTCACTGAAGCAGTGCTCCTAACATGTTGAGACACAGGTTTTATTTGGTTCCTTTTTACCACATGATAAATTAGCTTCTTACTTCATAAGTTACAGTGGGGGAAGGTACTTCCTATTTTCTCTTTAAATTTCTTGCCCTTATTTGAGAAACAATAGGCCGGGTGCAGTGGCTCACTCCTGTAATCCCAGCACTTTGGGAAGCCAAGGTGGGCAGATCACCTGAGGCCAGGAGTTCGAGACCTGCCTGGCCAACATGTTCAAACCCCATCTCTACTAAAAAAAAAAAAAAAAAAAAAATTAGCTGGGCATGGTGGCACGCGCCTGTAATCCCAGCTACTTGGGAGTCTGAGGCAGGAGAATCGCTTGAATCTGAGAGGCGAAGGTTGCAGTGAGCCAAGATCGTGCCATTGCATTCCAGCCAGGGCGACAAGAGCGAGACTTCATCTCAAAAAAAAAAAAAAAAAAAAAGTCCTCAAGTCTTTGGCTAAATACAAAGCTGTGTATGCACAGGGAGAGGTTCCACAAAGAAAGAAGGACAAGAAACAGCTACTGGGAAAAGAACAACTGCAGGGGAACAGTGAGCTCAGTGGAGATGCCAGAGCTCACATACCACTTTCAGACTCTTTTCAGACTCAGTGTATATTTTATGCTGAGTTTTTTAAATGAAATACTTTAAGTGGACAGGGAAAATTGGTACCAAAGGGAAACCTTAACAATGAGGAAGAAACTTTCTATAAAGAGAACAGGGGACAAAGTGTGTGCTAAGTGTAAAATGAGCATATTCATCCTTAAAGCACATCAGAATTGAATACGAGTATTTATTCAATTCATTCATTGAATCAATGAAATAAACACAGCTCTTTGAGGATTTGAGACTACATTCACCCTTTATTCATAGTCACCTGCAGTTTTGCTTTTCTCTGCATTTCTTTGCTATTAGATGACTGCTGCATTGTTGAGTTGTATTTTGAGTGGATATTTTTGTTTGGTAATAGTGAAAATTTTAAATTGTAAAACATGTATTTATCCTTTCTCTCCCTTCTAAATATGTGTCACTGTAAAACATCATTCCCATGTGACAGTGTGTGCTGCAGACTGTTTCAAAATTGGGCAGCCAATTAGCAAGGAAAAACAAATGGTCCACCTTCAATATTTGCTTGTTGTTCATTTACATGCTCTTGGCACCAATCCTAGACTCACATGTGCCCCAGAATAACATTCAGACTCTCAGCTGGTCTTCTGTTACATGTCCATGGCCCAGTTCACTCCATGATATACACCCTTCTGCTCCGTGTCCCATGGGCTGGGCTCAAGTCAAGCAGTCAGTGACAGACTTCATTCCCAATAAGAGAACCAGTTCGCATGACTCCCCATACATGTTGCAGCTTTGAAAACATTCATCTCAATGTTCACACTTTCATTTGGTATCAAGTATTTCACTAGATTCTTACAACCATGGTGTAGTAACATTCACTGAGGAAGAAGTGGAGGATCCAAGCAAGGATGGAACAAGTTGCTCTGGGCACACAACGTGTTTGCAATTTTACAGCCTCTTCGTGGCGCCTCAGTCAGACATTCTGTGCACTGATCAATGCCCTGTTCAATTA